>NC_000004.12:84375926-84527441 GCF_000001405.40 Homo sapiens
ATGTGCTATAGGCTGAGACAGCTTCCAAGTCCAGGTCATGGCAATCCTTGCTGGCGTTTATTGGTAGAGACCTGGCAATACTATATAAGGGCCACGCTCAGCCCTCTCCATGAACAGCCTCATAGTCCTCAGAGCAAGTCTTGGCTGTACACCCTTCGGCCTGCACCAAGTTTCTTTTACTTGAGAAGTAGTCACAGTCCATCTGCTGTGCAAATACACAAATACAAAACCGTCACCCGTTTCATTAGGAATTAGTCCCCACCAGGATACAGCAGCCCTTTCACCTCTGAGATGAGGAATGAATGTTGTAATTGTAGATGAAGGCCCTGAATGAGGCCTTTCCTGGGCAACAAATGGAGTCTGCTCTGGCTCCAGGAAGCCACTGGGCCAATAGGTGCCTCAGCAAGTTCTGTACCAAATGCCAACATGACAAATGCCAATTCTTAGCCTACTGTCTGTTATACTTTCAGCTACCTGTCTTTCACAGCATTGAGTACTCACATTTGGGAATGAGAACTAAAGATGTCAGTGGATGTCAGATCACTAATCACTTCCAAATACTCAGCACATCTGTACCAGTCCACAGCAACGAAATTGTCCCTCTGCATATTCCTCATGGCTAATGTTTTCACATTTAGTTTGTAAACTACAAACTTCCTAAACCTGACTTCATAGAATTTTGCATTGTTCCTAATTTTTTAATAATGATCAAGTATTACTTCTATAACTAGGGGGAAAAAATAGAATGTTCTGACATTTGACATGACTTTCCTCCAGGCTTGGGCATGACAGAAGGGATTAAAGAACAAAATTTAAAACCTGAGTCTCACATATATACATAGATATCTCTAAAGAAGTCTAAAATATCTTGCAACGGTGATTGACTCTGGGAAGACAATTGGAGAAAGAGATGTCTTTAAAATATCCACCATGGATGGTAGAGGAAGACGAGGAGGAAAAGGAGTCAGGTACTGTCATTTTCAGAGAGATACCCATTGTGCTTTACATGGAAAACAAAGGCACACCTCTAATCCCAGACATAGGCAAAACTTCCCTATTTGCATTTTTTAAAAATCAATTTCCACTGTGGAAAAGTGGGAAAGCTACATTCTAACAGCCTAGAATGCAGATTTTTAAATGTATCATCCACCTAGTTTATTTTCTCCTTCTCTGACATGGTCTTTAACCATGTCTCTGTTGGACACATCCATAGAAAAGACAGAAGGTCACACACTTAACATTGTTTATTATCTAAATGGGATTTGTTCTTTCACCCCTGTCACTTCTCATTTAAGTATGTATTCTCTTTCATAACTTTCTCGATCCTTCTCAGGGTTTTCACTCATGTAATGTATCTGTGTTTCCTTTCTTCTCTAATAACATTTATTGAATACTTACTATGTTCTCTCTTTTTTTCATTTATTGTTTATTAGATGCCAGGCAGTAAACCCTTCATGTGCAGTATTTTATGTAATCTTCAGAACAATCTTATAAAGTGCCGTTATTATCTTCATTTTGCAAATAAGAAAGCCAAATATTAAACAGGTAAAGTAACTTGCCCAACATCACACAGCTGACCCAGATCTAACCACGAAGAACCCCAAGATTCAGGATGTAAAAGTGATATTCTTACCTCACTCCTTAATTTTTTTGTTCCCTTGCATTTTTTCTTCAAATTCCTGTTTACTATCTAATGCCCTCATATTATTTACCTCTTTTACTTTTCATCAGTTTTCCATTGTTTTCCCCTGTCCTTGTGGTGCCATCTTTAGTTTTCTTTGCTCAGGTTCAAGGTACAAGTAGATAATTAATTTTAGGGGCTTCTTTCCTGCTACTCAGAGCCATACTGAATAACCATGGGCTATGTAATTGGAAGAGAGGTGATTTCCTACTGATTTCCAATTGTATGTGCTTGAAAATGGTGCTTATCCCAAAGACCAGGAAACTGTTATCCAGTATCTTCATAAGGTAGTGGGAAGACAGAAAATGTATTAAACTACATATTAACGTCTAGCTGGTGTTAGTGAACTAGTAGAATACATACTTTTTTCCACAAAATGTAACTTTTATACTTGAGGGACATGCAAACAAGATTCTTTTGTGAACAAATGCTTTTATTTTTAGCTCCAAAATATCAACTTTGCAAAAATGTTAAGCATGAAACAGCATTCCATTATTGAGTTGCTTTTGTTGTACTTACATCACTATATTTTTGAGAGAGTTGGTACTGTTATCAACATCATCATCATTAAATAACAGATGAAGGAGAAGGAGAACTTGAAGGAAGGAAATCAAGGTTCCAAAATTCAAACCTATATGTAAGCCTTGCCCCAACCCTTACACCTCACGAAGTAAGAAAGAAAACAGATAGCCCCAGAACAAAAGAAAAGCATACATAGCTAGAATTCATATTCAAAAGGCTAAAGGGAGGAAAAATATTTCTGTATCTAGATAAATATGCATGTGGACACACACACACACACACACACACACATACACACACATACACACACGCATACCTCCTTTGCGTCAGAAGCCTTGCCCAGCAGAGCCTATGGCAGTGACTTAATGGCATGACATCACTGCATCTCAGATAATATGTGGTAATGAATTCATTGCATAGGATCTATGACCAGAAATTCATCCCCGGCCCTTCCCCTGCCCACCCTGTTCGCAACAGCAAGCCAAGTTTGTGTAGCTCTGTGCCCCTCAGCCTGTGTGCTTAATGCATGCATTAAACAGGGAGACTGGCGATGGTTTCCTATGTTTCTCATTATTTAAAAGAACAAGTTAATCTTCCCTTTGGGGGGCAGCAGGGGAACTGAAAACCACACGATCCTCTTAAATAGTTCTATGCCCGGCCCTCCCTTGTTGACAGGTCTGCTTTCATAATTTTATTGTCATGGCTTTGGAGCAAATTTTAGAGAGGTAGAGTTAGTTGATGGAAGGGTTGGAAATGAGAAGGAAGATGAGGCTGGGAAAATCCTAGGGGGGTGAGGGAAAGAAATCAAGCCATCTGATGGATGGCAAGTCTTTTATCAGATATATCTCCTTTCCTTTTCGAGTGCCTATCATATCACACAAACTGCTCCTGAAGAGCCCTCCATTTACCCTTTCCCCTAATTAAATGTGCACTTCATTAATGTAAATTGGGGGTTTAATGCTCTTGTTGAAATTCTGAAGAAAGTGCTATGGCCTTGCGAAATGCTTAAGCATCATTGCAAATTAGATTAGGGACCAAGAAAGGCAGTAAAATTAGAATGATAATGGCTGATGTGGCTTCCTGACAGGCATGACTATTCAGGGATCAATGGAATGGAGAACAGTTTCCCGAGCCCAAAGTGAAAGGCAGGGACAAACGTCAGCCTACAGATGTGGCTTTTGGAAGCACTTTCAATTAGTTTAATTTGGTAAATGGTGGGGATTTAGAGGCTCTCAGCCAGTCATACAAGACAAGAATACATTGAAATGTTTTTCACTTTTTAACATAAAATAGGATTGGCTTTAGATTTGCATTTCTCGAACAAGAAGATGGAGTGGGGTGGGAGGGGATGGGGGTGCAGGGAAAGTTTCCAAAGTGTTTTACCAACTCTGCTTTTGAAAATGGAAATGACTTTTATAAGCTTGGACTGAAACCTTCCAAAGAGTGGGAAAGGAAAGAGTAAATGTACTCCTTCTGGTTCTCAGGGAGGCCTTAAATCCTGAACACCTCAAGAGCCCAATGTGTGCTAAAACATGTTGTCAAGACTGGGGAGTGGGGGTGAAGGGGCAGAGGGGAGGGTGGGGGGAGAGGGAGGAGCAGGCAGTGAAATACACTCAAACTTATCCATCATTTCTTATGATAAACTTGTTTTTCATGGTTAAAAAAATAAATGTTATTTCTCAGCTAGAGCAAAAAATTTAATTACAATTTTAAATGTGTCACATAAAAGAAATATTCATAACCTGATCACACTAATATTCACCCAAGCACACATGCTCGCGGTTCTACTTACGAGGCATCAGCACACGCCCATCAGCAGACACTCAGTGGACGCTCATTTGGCCGTTACTTCAGAGCAGGGCTCTCATGTGGTTGGTGCTAAGTATGCCTTTTCCTTTTTGCTCCCTCCTGCAAACTCCACCCCACCCCCAGACCCCTGGTGTCTTCACTGGAAAATAAATTGGCACTAATCTGGTGACTGGGGACATTTACAGGCAGGACAGCTTCTGTGCACAAAGGCCTCCTTCAGATTTGTGCATTTTGACTACAGGTCCCTCCTTGTGTTCCCAGAATGCTGTCAAGCTCGACTGGGACCTCCTCCCTGAAGGCGTCTGCATTTTTCATGAGTGAAGAGGAAAGAGATGATGCGTCAGAAATTGCGGTAAATATTACCAAATCCCCAGTGGCTCCCAAAGCCCTTTCAACCTCATGAACCAGCGTGGTGATTCACCCTCTAAATCCTTTTACCAATTCACCAAAAGTGTGCTAATAGGCTCACCTCTCACTCTTGTTAAGTTAATATCGCAAGTCAGCAACAAAGCATGGAAATGCACAAAACTCATACTGAAAGGAGAGAGACACGTGTCCAGAAGGGAGAAGAATGATCTCAGGCAATGAAAACAAACCAGGGCAAAGGTAAGCTCAGAACATAGTATGCCGTGTTAATCATTCGGTGGCTAGGAATTCTCAGTTTCATCATGAGGATGGTAACAGGTCATTGGTGTTACCAGCAATTCCACCACTGATGGGCTTCCTAAGGCCTCTTCATAAAGGCGGCTTGTCTCCCACAAAACACCCGGATGAGAAGTAGAAAAAAAATCCGAGTAAATTATTCCAATTAAGTTAACAATCATAATATCTAATATTTGTGTATTACTTTGATGGCTTCTAAAAACATGTACAAATCCAATAACTCATTTCATCTGTAGCAAAATCTTCAGAGATAGAAAAGAAATGAATACTTATTTTATAGATGAGGGAAATGAGGTACAGAGGTGTCCAGTTACTTCCCCAAAGACACAAAGTTAACAAGTGGTAGTGGAGGAAATAAGACAAGAGTTCTTCTTTTACTAGCAGCTAGTGTTGTTGCAAAACTGATAGATGATTATTGTGAAAAAATTTCAAGTAACACAGCAATGTACAAAGAAGAAAGTAAAGTGCATAACAATAATTAGTGGAAATATTTTGCGAACTTTCCTTCATATATCTTTCTGTGCATGTAGATAAGATTAATAATAAGAGGGAACACATACTGAGTTCTTAACCATGTACGAGCTATCTTGTATACTGTGCATTTACTCCTCAGAACAACCCTCTGAGGTAGATGTAGCTTACACATGAGGAAAGTGAGGCGTGAAGAGGGTAATTATTAATAATTTGTCCAAATTCACATAACTATGCATATACCTTACAAAAATATGATCATAGTGCTCTTATTAGTAGGTAAGATGCTTTTTCACACAGCAATATATCACAAATATCTTTTCATGTATCTTCCTCATCAGGTTTAGTGCTTTTAATTTTTTTTCCTAAACAATGCTATGATGAAAATTCTGAGCAAACTTTCTTTCACATTTAGCTGGTGATCTCCTCAGGGCTAATCCTAGACAGGAGATACAGAGCAAAACTCTCTAGGCACTCAGAGAATTGCCTGTAGCTGTAGCCCACGTCCCCCAGTGGTAATAACACGAAAGCACTATGAGATGAGACAGAACTAGTCCTTTCCTTCCTTCCCATCACTCCACAAGCATTTGATTGGATACTATGAAAAAAAAAGCCCAATAAGATAGATTCTGGGTCCTCAAGAAGCACACAGACATGCGAGAGAGACAGAAAAGTAAAGAATCAATTATTATACAAAACAGTGTGATTTGTGCTAGGATAGGAAGATTCACATATTTCTTACATTGACAACTAAACTCTGTACTCAGCCCAGACCAGTGAGCTCAGGGAAGGCTCTCCCAGCAGAGAAGATACCTGGAGGAATCCTAAAGGAGGAACTAGGGTTGTTCAGGCAAGGGAGGATGGGTGGATGCTGGATGTTGCAATCTTCAGTTCTCATCAGGAGCCCTCCTTGTGTAGCTGCTTTCTCTAGAGCCTCCTATACCTCTTCTCCTTCTTGCCCCTTCAAGCCAAAGAGTGGGTGATAGTGGTTTCCTATTTACTAACTTTAAGATACTAGAATCTCCCCATTTTATTTTTGAAAATGCTGTGTAGCCATTTGTAAATAGCCCATTATTAAACTCTCTTCAGATTACCTAGCTTGAGTGTGAGACCTGTTTCCTGCCAGGACCTTGACTGACTCAACACATATACAGAAGAGATTGAGCAGAGTTCTACAGATCTCACAGCCCTCCCTGCCTTACCCCTATCCCAAAGCCCACTGAGAAGCAGAAATAAGGCTCCTAGCTCCAGAAGAAATGCGTAGCACTTGAGATTGGCCCCATTCCCTTGTTGGCACAATGATCTCCACGGGACATCTCTTTTCTGGCGCCAGTTAGAAATGTTCAATTCCATTTCACTTTAATTTGCAATAAATGTGCCTAATTTTATTTTTAATTTCCTAAATAGATTGATTTGGCAAAGCCACTTCACCAGCTCAAAGGTTAAATTCCTAATTGAAAATGCTAATATCGAATTCATTTTCTCAAATGCTGATTCTCTGATTTTGTGAAACGACTCTTTTTCAGATAAGAATCAGAGAACTATGGGGATGGGAGATTTGGTAGACATCAACCCAATAGGTACAACAAGGTTAAAGGTCTTGCCCAACAAGACACAGCTTGCTAATAACATCTTTTCACTCCACTAGAACCTGCAGTTCCTGAATGGAGGCAGCCGTTGTTTGCCCTGGAAAAGTATTGTCTGCCACAGAATGATGGGAAGAATAGAGAATGATTCTTCCCAGTTTGTGAGACTTTCCCTCCTTTAGCATTTAAATACTTTTAGATATGGTCTCAGTTTTACTTTCTACATCCTGGAAGACTATTTCAAAAATAAATAAACTAAAAAGAGTAACACAAGAAACCAATAATAGTAGTTGTTTCCTGGAGGAAAAATGAGAGACAGGGAGAAGGGGTGGGAAGAAGAATTACTTTTTGTGAGTTAATTTGTAACTTATGACATTTATAACATTTGAAGGTATTACCTATTTTAAAAATAAATTAGCTTATTTGGAAGGCAGGAAGAAAAAGTATTATTTGAATTCTGTTTAACAAAGAGATATTGCTTGCGTTCCACACAATCTAGAACTTTCTAGGCACTGGAGGGCATATAAAGGCACAGTTCCAGACTTCAAAGGATTTGTTGTCTTCTAAAGGAGACAAAAATGAACAGAATCAATGATAATCCATCAAGGAATGTGTGAAGCCACAGAATAAAGGGTAATCACAGAAAAGAGATGGAAAGATAGTCATTTCAACTGGTTGCACATTCACAGATGGTTAGAATTGGGGAAGGATGAGCCAAGTGGAAGGAATTGTGTCAGCAAAAGCTTGATGGGGAAAATTAAGGAGGATGTGAACAGCATGTTTCTGCTCACACTACAGCAAGTGGGGATAAGCAATAACCCTATGTCCCTTCCTACGTCTAGCTGTAAGGATACCCTCCATTTTTCATAAAAGTCCTATTTGTAATAAGTATGTCTTACGTAAGTATTACATTTTAGTTTTTTTAAATTTTATTTTATTTTAAGTTCCAGGATACATGTGCAGGTTTGCTACATAGGTAAACATGCACCATGGTGGTTTGCTGCACCTATCAACCCATCACCAAGGTATTAAGCCCTGCATACATTAGCTATTTATCCTGATGCTCTCCCTCCCCCAGGGCCCCCTACCCCTACAGGCCCCAGTGTGTGTTGTTGCCCTCCCTGTGTTCATGTATTCTCATTGTTCAGCCCCCACTTATAAATGAGAACATGCAGTGTTTCGTTTTCTGTTCCTGCATTAGTTTGCTAGGGGTAAAAGGTCTTTTTAAAGAAACTCCTTAAACTTCACAGTAACATATCTCTACTACATAGTTGAAGAAACCAGCTGAGAGAGGGCAGCAGAGTTGGATGGGATTTTAAAGGTAACCGGTCATTTTACTAATAAGGAAATGGAGGCCAATGGAGACGATGTGACATTTAGTTAGGAACAGACCCAGAAACTTCTGAGATGTGTTTGCCTCACAGATAGAAGGAACAAAACCAAATGTGCCCTCTACTAAGTGTTGATCCCGTTGGAATGGAATAATTTAGAGGGCACAAAAAATTGGCATTTGGCTTGTATTAACTCATTTTCTGCCTAATGCAGAAATTAAATCTGTACAATTCAATTGTCCCTATGCTAGCCACCACCAGAAAACGTGTTAGGAAAAACAGATGCTTTTATGACTACCATTAGCACGACCAAGTTGATTTTTTGTCCTACATCTACTGTTATTCACTCAGAAACTCCATGCCTCTAGTGTGACTGTGTCCGTAAGTACAGATGTAGACTGGAAAGGAGAAGGGCATTCTCACAAGCAGGAAGTCAGAGGTTTGCCTCGTTACTGTACTGTCTACCACTGATCCAGAGGATACTGTGACTGAAGGGCTATGAAATATTTGGAGGTATTGTTTTTAAAAGAGAAAAATTAAATACATATTAGAAGATAATTGATTATATAAGGCTGTCCAGGTCCAGGGCAGGCTTGGCTGCCATATATAGCAAGCAGCATGTAAAACTTATAAGAAAAAAGCCACATGGACATTTAGTCTTGAGTTTCCTGTATTATACGTGATCTCATCTTTTACCCCTCATTAAATGTGTGCCCACCTCCCCTCTGCTAGCTCTTCATACACATACTATCTGCCTCTCTTGCCTTTTTGAGATGCTCCCCCGTGTCCCAGCTGGACCTGAATGATTAGGTGTGGCCCTATAGCTCACTCTCACTTATTCAGCTGTTAAAGCAGCTTAAACCCTCATAAGAACATTAACATTTGGGTGCCAATAACAGATTGACCTTTATTCATAAAGTGCAAATAGTTGGAAGTTGAACAGATTGGTTGCCAGCGATTGCCTTTTATGTGCAGTTTAAGGCTTTGATTTCTCTCCCCTTTCTTCCTTTAATCTGACATCACTGGGTTGAATAGGGTTTGCACTCTAAGTAAACAAGGCCAGGGGAGGCCTTTGCTTTTGTAGCACAGTTTGCTTGGAAAGAGAAGGAGACAGGAGGGTGACATTAAAAGATTTGCCTTTGGAATTAAACAATTTAAGAATGGATTGGAAACCCCAAAACTGAGTGGAGCTGTTGGTAGGCTCTGAACTGAACTCACACAAGAGCCTTTTGCATATGGGACTATTTATCCACAATCATTCATGTAGATGGTGAATGAGAATGTAAGGATTTATATTAACTCTCTTGAAAGTTTACTCTATGTCATACACAAAAGGGAAACTCAGAAACCCACAGAGCCTATGGATTTGAAATGAGACCACAGTGCACTGCTTTGTTACCCTCTTCTAGCCAGCTGTGAGCATTTTGATGCTTAAGATTGCAGAGGGTGGCTGAAGCCCTTTAAACAACTAGTGTTTCTTTAAAGCATTCCAAGGGAATACCTCTTAAGCATAAGCTTTTAAAGATACTCTCCAACACAGCGTTCGGTTCTGAGGGGTTTTTCCCTGATTTATCTTGACAGTACTTTACTTTCAATAGCACAGTCTACACTTTGTAGTGAATGGGGAATCTTTACAGCATTTTCATAGGTAGCATGAGCACATGCAAGTCTTCCTCGCAATTAATTGTGCCCATTTAGAAATAATAAAGTGAGTCAACAGAACACAGGAAATGGAAGATATGAAGCTCTCATTAATAGGGCTTGGCCATAAGTAAACGGCAATTTTATGTGAATACTCGTTCTGCCAGAGCTTTTGATTATGTTTTTAAAAAATCTTAAATGCCTGTATTTTAGGACTATAGGGATATTTCTTTTTGATTCAGATAATTTAGCATTGCATTGTCTATTAACAACTTTGGCTTTAGAATTAGGCAGACCCAGATTTGTGTCCCAGCCCTTATTAGAAGCTTGTTAACTGTGTAACTTGGACATAGAACTAGTCTTAAAGCCCCATTTTCTCTGCAATCTGTGAGTCACTGTAGTGCCAATCTCAGAGGGATGAGCATCTCTATGAAGCTCTTAACGCAGCCCCTAGCCCTTAGTAAGTACTCCATAAAAGTTATTGTTTTTTATCAAAATTCAGTTTTATATCACATTACTGTCCTAGGTCTGTATGGAGAATATGACAAAAACAATAGAAAGTGCTTAGCAATGGACCCATCTCACAACTAACTTCGATAAATAGAAACTGCTATTATTATTGTCATTTTAGTCTATACTGTCTTGTAACAGATTGTTTCACTATCTCAAACTACAGTATGGCTGTCTTGTGGCAGAAAACAGGGCTTTCATTTTTCTGTGTGTGCCCCCGATGCCTGAGCACAATATTAATGTAGAGTGGACACTTAATAAATTACTTATTAGTAAACTCTTCTTCTCCTTGATTGGGAACTACTTTCTCCAAAGTCAAAAACAGAAACATCATCTTTCACTCCTTCTCTTTCAGTCCCTCCATCTAATCTAATACTGAGGTCAATCATTTCTGGCTTAAAAAATTAGCTCTCCTGTTTTCCATTCATGTTGTCACTAAGCTAATCCAGGTTTGCAAGAGCCTTCTAAAGGAGAACCCACAAGACAGGTACTGTGTCCTCACCACCACTCTCCACTGCTTTCAGTCATTCTGCAAACTGACACCAGGCAAATATTCTCCAAGATTCTTTTATGTCCCTACCCAGCTCCAAGATTCTTTTATGTTCCTACCCAGCTCTTCATGCTGCACCTCCCCTCTCTTCCAGACTTTCCTTAATAGTGGCATGGGAAGTGCATGGATGAGAAGAATTTAAGCAAGAAATAAGAATATCATCCACAGTGCTTTGATTTGGTGGCTTATCCTGAACTCATAATATTATAAGGAGGACAAGGCCTCACCACATTTGATAACTAGGTAACTGTCTTGCCAGCACGGGTCTGTCTTCAAACCATAAAAGGGATCATCTTAGAGACCATGGATGGATCAGAGATACGACTGAGGGAAAGGCAAAAACCCTTCAAACCTTGCTATCACCTTGTAAGTAGAAAAAGAGTGTCTTTTCTCCAAAATTTCAGACTGCCAATGTCAAACTTTACACAATAATAGTAACTTTAGAACTTTGTTTTGGAATCTCAAAACCAAAGGCAGAAAACAAAGGAAAAATTAAAAATTACACACAAGTGTACAAACATGCATAAACACAGTCACACAGATGGGTAAAAAGAGAAAACGAGGAAGAGCAAATTGAGACGTTAAATTTCAGATTCTCCGGACCTGTCCCTACTCTTCCAAGTCCTTGGAATTATTCCAAGAAAGACACAAGAGCCAGGGGCAAGAACACCAGTCTTTTCTCCGGGTCTCATGCCCTCCCTCCCCAAGTTCAATACTCACCCAAGGCAGGGC
The DNA here is from genome assembly GCF_000001405.40 of Homo sapiens. NCBI lineage: Eukaryota > Metazoa > Chordata > Mammalia > Primates > Hominidae > Homo > Homo sapiens. The sequence continues at coordinate 84,387,423 of NC_000004.12, forward strand.
AAAGTGTTTATTCTCAGTGGCAGTCCCTTTCTATGTCATTGTTTTTTCTCACAGCTTTTCCTCCCCTCCTCAGAGACTGAAATGCTAGCTAGGTCTCAAGCCAAGACATTTTCATGAGGGAAAGATTTCAAAAAGATTATGGATGGGATTTTAAATGTCTACTGAAATACACACAGAAAAGTCTTCATTGTAAAGGAGAAAATGCTTTTAAAAGTATATTTAAATAAATCCTCAATAACAGAGACTTGGCAGACCCAGGGCTGCTCCCCGGCCATCCCTGGGAAAGTGGGCTTTTTATGGATTCTGATCTAAGTGTGAGGGCTGACAGGAGGTCCTAATCTATAGTATTGTTCCGTGCTTGTGAGAGTCTCACTAATTAGTAGCTGATGAGCTACAAAAGGAGTAAATTTTGTTTCAATTTAATGATGACCTTCATCTTAATTCCATTTCCTCTGTGAAAACCTGGAAATTATATGACAATCCCCAAACAGAAGAGTTTTTAAATACTCCTCTAGTCAGGCAAATTGTGTTAATTTCTTGCCCCCTTACTAAATGCAGAGCTACGGTAAACATAATGTACTTCTGGAAAAAGAACTGACAGAAGAAAATTTAGGTTTTTGGATCATTGGGGAAATTTTGGCTGGAGATAGGAAAAATGAGAGGTTTTGGTTTGCATTTATGACAAAAAACAAATCACATAAAAACTCTGAGGATGACAAAAATAAACTGTTATGTCATCCAAACTAAAAGAATTTAATGCTCCTAGGAGACCTTAAGTAACCTAGAGACCAATGCCCGTCAGAGTATATGCTTAGTAAATTTTGGTTGAAAGAATCAGTGAGTGAATGAATGAATTCTCTTGAGAGTATCTTGCGTTCAGTAAATGCTGGTGTTTTCAGCTGTAACTTTTGTAAATTCAATAAAGCAGCAGATTCAGTACACTGCTGCTGCTAAAAAATGTAGAACAACTAGTTGTGAAAGCAGCCCTTGACCGCCCAGCAGGAAATAAGCTCTCAGCTGCACTCAGTGAATAAGTGAGGAGATCCAAGGGCAAGTCGAATCGGCACCTGTCTGCTTCTCCACCACTATGGCCTCTCAGATGGCAGACCCCAGTATCAGGGCTTCTCCAGCAACAGGCTACAGGGTGGGGGAGGGGGCGACCCACGGATGGTTCTGGAAACAGTGTGAGCAGGGGACAATCCCATCCAGCTTTTTTGACACAGCCATTTTAATAAAGGAAAGGGAGCAGTGGTATTTTCTTTTCATTTTTCCTCCTTTTAATACCAAATAATCTTTGTTAAAGACACTATTCAGCATCACATCATTCTTGACCCTCTCTTCAGACATGGCGTGAGATCTGGGGATGTGTTCTGACTCAAACATTATTACAAGTTTTTCAGAACTGAAAGTTAAATGACTTGAGGGCCAAGTCAAAGCATGCTGTTTTCCACAATGACCCCTCTACGATCCTTGTCCACACACAGGTGCACACCTACAAGACTACTTATGGAATGACTGAATGAGTGTTTGCTATAATGAATGGTAATCAGGGTTGGAGTGCACATAATGACTATACTTAGTATCCATGTAAGCCAATATTTCTAGAGTCAGATGGTGGGTCATGGGAGAAGGCAGCTGAGTAGAACAAGACATGATTTGATTCCTAAATTTTTTTTTGTTTTTTGTTTTTTTGAGATGGAGCTCCACTCTTGTTGCCCAGGCTGGAGTGCAGTGGCGCAATCTCAGCTCACTGCAACCTTTGTCTCCCAGGTTCTCCTGCCTCAGCCTCCCGAGTAGCTAGGACTATAAGTGTGTGCCACTATGCCCAGCTATTTTTTTTTTTTTTTGTATTTTTAGTAGAGATGGGACTTCACCATGTTGGCCAGGCTGGTCTTGAACTCCTGACCTCAGGTGATCCACAGTTTCGGCCTCCCAAAGTGCTGGAATTACAAGCGTGAGCCACTGCACCTGGCCTGATTCCTAAATTCTCTTGAAGATTTTAGATCTAAATCTCAGAGGCACCAGCCTGCCCAACTCTCCAGCTGAGAGAATCAAAGGTGCTCACAACCCAGATGGGTTAAACATTCAGGCTACCTTAGGGCTGTGCTGTCCCCTCTTCACCGTAGGAGACAGGAACAGATCGGGGTGGCCATGGTTACACTGAAGCAGAACCAACTCAACATCATCCCCCTCTGGGGACTGGAAGCCACAACTCTTATTTCCTCTCATTCCAATGCCATTTCTCATCTCTCTTAATAATGGATCCAGAATTATTCCAAGGTATTTCAGGGCAGATGACTCTTCTGCCCAATTTCAGTTCTACAAACCCTAAATGATTCTACTCATGTTCCCATTTTCTCTCTCAGGATCTGCTTTGCACACAAAAAGAAATAAGAACAAAGGGCCTCATCGTGTGATTTAAGAAAAAGAGTCTTTTCCTACTGCCTGGCTCAGTTCAGAAGTAAGAGACTCATTTGCATTAACAAGTAAGCATCACTGGGAAGAGTGAGAGAAGTCTATCAATCATTCACACTCTAGTGCAAATTACTAAAATCCAATTGCTTTCCTCTCTTATATCTATCTGAAACTTCTGGGGGAGGTTTCTCATGGATGAGCTCCGGGTGCACACCTGTGTAGCTATTCTCACTAAGCAGCATCTGTGTATAGAGATTATGTATGTGGTGCAGAGCCCATACAAAATAAGTTTGGCAGAAACTCTGCTAAAACTAGAGGAAACTAGAATTAATAACATAAGCACATAAAATGTTCTTACAGCTTCTTCTCTTGCATCACTTTATTTAATATTCACATAACTCTGTGAGGTTGTATTATCACCATCCCATTTTATAGGTGAGAGAAAGAAATTAAACATCTTGCCTAAGAAGAAGGAGATCTTAACTCTGAAACCAGAGAGAAAGATCCCAAACCTGGGTGTCGTTTTACTATGGGAAGGGTATTTCTTTTGCAGTGTTTTAAGGCATCTGCTACCACCACATTACAAAATTTAGAAAATAACAGAGGTATCGGCAATGGCAGGAGTCCAAACATGAGAAATAAAACTAGAAGAGAAGAGTGGTTTCAAATGTTGGCACATCCTCTTACCTTCCTTTTTGTACTTTCCTTTAAGTCTTCCATGGTAAATGCAATCTGGCTTCGTGCCTCTTCCTTCATCTAGGTCATTTTAACAGCTCCTTTACTTTAGTCCAGGGTGAAATTCTGTCTCAAAGCTGTCTGAGATTAGCCTAAGTGGGGCAACTTGCCCTGATTGGATAAAGCTTTTAAACGGTCATGAATTAGCTGAGCATGGTGGCTCACGCCTATAGTCCTAGCTACTTGGGAGGCTGAGGCAGGAGGATCACTTGAATCCAGAAGTTTGAGACCAGCCTGGACAACATTGTGGGAGGCATTGTGAGATTCCCCCATCTCAGAAGACAAACAAACAAACAAAAACCTCATGAACTAGTAGGCAGCAGACTGAAGGATAAAGCAGTGCCGGGTAGCTGACAGCAGGGGAGTGCACAGCTGCAGGGTGTCCAGCTCTATTCTGTGCCCCTCTTCATGAGACAGGGCCCACCTCGAGCATTCCTCAGGGGGTTAGGGAGGGGCAGGAACTCACATCAAGTACCCTGAAAGGTAGTCATAGAGCTAACAATAGTTAAGGCCTCACGAATTCCTCCACAGCTCTATGAGGTAGTGCATTCACCAATATTCCCATTTTCAGGTGTGAAAAATGAGACATTAAGAGGGTAAGTAATTTTGCTAAGGTCACTCAGCTGCTAAATGACAGAGCAGGCATTTTCACCTAAGCAGCCTGATCCGAGAGCCTGAGTCCTTAACAGAAAACTATAACACATATGGTTTTCACAGAAAACTGCACCCACCTCTGCAATGTGCTCAAGGTGGACCCTGTCTCAGGAAGAGTGGAACAGAATAGAACCAGACAATCTTCAGGTGTGCACTCCCCCATGCTTCGCTACCTGGCACTGCAGCCTACTGGTTCATGAGATTACACCGGGATGTGTTTATCCCAGGTAATCTAAGACATGGAGGTATATGGCAGCCTCGTATCACACAGATGGGGAAGTGGATGCAGAACTAGGGCCAAAGGGAAGAAGTTACAAGCAGATTTCAAGAGAATATGACTTTCAACTTTCTAAACACAGATATGTCTGCATTGGTTGGATGCTTTTAGTTTCAGCAACAAAAAAACAATCGAAAATGTCTTAATCAAAAAGGGAAAAAACTTTCCATATAACTGGAAATTGTGAGACATGGCAAGATCCAGGTATTAAGATGTTGTCATCAGCAATCTGTCCTTTTTTCTTCATCTCTTGACTCAGCTTTCCTACCTGTTCTATTGCTTTCAGGCAGAGTCTCCACTGTTGAGCAGAAATGACACCAGCAGTTCTAGGCTTATCTCATCCTCACAGTTGCCAATCCCTCTGGAAACCCACAGAAATTAGCAGTTAGTTCTGCCTATGGACGTGGGGTGGGGAAATCTGGGTGGACTTTACAGAGGTGGTGGCATGTACTTGGATCTTAATGATATGTAGGAGTTTCCCAGGCAAAGGAAGATGGAAAAGAATGGGCTTTCCTATATTTGAGGGACAGTTCAAACATCCTGGAGATGCTTGATGATGAGAGATGAGAACAGCTGCCCAATTCACTGAAAGCCGTTTTACCAAATGATCAATATGCAAAGTAACCAATTTGCTTAAAAAAATCAATTTGTCAAATGTTCAATTCATAATTATCAAGTTTACTGATCAAAAAATAATCTTTTTTGACTATTTAAAGTTTACAGCAATCTGTGCTGGATCTGTGGCCTTGGTTGACCAAATTTGATTCTGTCTCTAGAACAGCATTTTAAGGGATATTCAGTTTATTAAGACCTAATATTATAGGGGGATTTAGTCTGCTTAGGTCTATATTTAATATTTTTTGAAGTATTATTTTAATCAATGACCAAATGTCAATGTTTCATGTGCGAGTTTTTCAGTTTCTACTGATATCTTTCGACCTTTTCTCATGCTCCTGAACATTTCAGCATGTCTTGCCAAATCTTATTAAAGACCTTTCTCTCTGAAGAAAGTTTTTACTTTTCAGCTTAGACCTCATAGTTCTAACACTTTAGACCTTGCCATTTAATGTGATAGCCAATATCCAAATTTAAATTAGCTGAAATTAAATACAATCAAATAGAATTAAAATTTTATTTCCTCAGTGGCACTAGCCACATTTTGAGAGATCCCAGCCACAGGTTGACAGTCAGTGGCTACCATAATAGACAGCACACAGAGAACATTCTCATCATCACAGAAAGTTTTATTGGGTAGCATTGTTTTAAATCAGCCTGGTGAGTCCTGATTCCACCGTTTCCCTAGGATTTTGTCTTTGATTCCCTCAGCTCCAAGCCCCACAGCCGCTACGGGGCCAGACTCCATTCCTGCCTCTTGTCTCAACTCCCCAGCGTCCTACTTGCCTCAGGGAATTTAGAAAGCAAGCTCATGGTTGATCATCATTTCATTTTTGTCCATTTTCTAGTCTAGCCTAGGAATAGGATGAGTTGTTCAAATATTTTAAGGGTCCCTGTGCAAAATTTCCTAGGGAATGGTCTACCTTAATTAAATACAAATAAATGCTGCTCTATTCTGCAATGCTTTTGTTCCTGAAACTCCACTGCCTCCAGAGAGGAGGAGGGAGGGTGGGAAGAAGAGAAGGAGGGAGGAAGGGAGGAAGGGAGGGAGGTGTTGGGGGGGACAGAGAGAGAGAGAAAGAGAGAGAGAGAAAGATCCTCTTGTCAGCAAACTCCTTACTAAAAATATTAATTCCACTAAAAGCATCGAAAAGACCTTTTTTTCCTTAGAAAGAAAAAAAAATACAGCTGCATAGCAAAATGGAAGGCTTGAATGAACATTTCAAGTCCTACCTGTCACAAGCCATTAGTCGAATTGCCTAAAGAAATCCCTTGACAAGTATAAGTGCTGTTTTTATGTTAGAGCGCTTCATAATGTTGCCCACAAGAAGAAATTTCTCCACAAAAGCTTCTTCTGTTTAATAAAGTGATTTGTTCCAGTAACAGTGATAATAAAATTGCTGAATTGAAATAGGATTGTTCAATGAAGACCTGAATCCAATTTGCTGGACTAGTATGATTACACTTTTATCTCTGTGTTTACTCATTTGTAGAATTGCTACCAGTCTTTTGATACGCAATTAATAGGATTAATGGTTTTCAGGACCAGAAGGCAGTAACAGGGAAGAGAACCCATTTTTATGTGGCACAGTATCTGTGTGTTGACCTATTAAGGCCTGTGCACCTTGTCAGCTGTGCTACAGAACGATAGGTTGATTGCCTTTCCTTATCCTTTGAAATGGGATGGCTTTTTCCAATGAAAATTATTTTGAATAATTATGTCTAGGTTAATTTAGGTGCCTCCTCTCTGTGAGCTCCTCAGGCAGCTGACGGTGGAGCCTCATGGACCAGGAAAAAGAAGTAAAGACAACTACAATTCTCTAAAATTTAATTTTTGGAGTGATCTGTCTTCTCTATCTGGTCTCATACAAATAATTCTTATTATCATTATTAATGGCTTTAATAGCAGAATGAAACATTTTGACAAACCATTTCATTCATTACCTGGAAATCTTTGGAGGCTTAGGTGTACTCATATTTATTTTTGTGATAGCTTATATATGCTTATACTTTCTCTAATCAACATTGCCTTTGGGATAGTGCCATCTTAAACCCTCAAAAGGGATTAGTATTAATCATATGGTATACAAAGTAGGATTTATCAAATAAATATGGCTTTTTCTGTGTGGAGGTGTTTGTTTTGTTTTGTCTGTTGGGTTTTAAGGGTTTTTTGGTAACAGATTAAGAAACTAGTAAAAACATAACTAGTAATGACATAAGCCAGCGTCCTTATAGGCTACCAGAGTGTTTTAAGACTAGCCCTTGATTATGTTTAGCAGACACTGGTATCTTTGCTTGGGTTCCGAGAAAAAAGGGCATAAGGCAAATCTCAATGTTAATGCTTTATTGAGGGAATCCCAGGGAAGCAAGCATAGGAGGTGAATCTAGGCAGGGAAAGAGGGAAAGCAGACACAAGGTCATATGTTCCCAAGTTGACACCGCATCCCTGGTAGCTTAGTCATGCTGGATATTTCCAGTGAGGCTAAAGAAAACCACTGCATCTTAGAATAGCCTGTCAGAGAGAAGAAGGGCAAGCAAGTGTCCACTGGCTCCTTTCTGTCTCTGTCTTTTATTGGTCAGAGTTCCTCGTTGGGGTGTTAGCTCCCCTATGTTTGCCAGTCATGTGTTCTAGGCCCCCCAGGGCAGGCACTGGGGAAGCCAGAGCCCCACACACATCAGGTTGGGTCAGAAATGGGCACCTTCACTGCTGCATTTCCCCACAGGTTCAGTGAACACTATGCCGCAGCCTGGCCCTCATCCACAGGGGAGGCTAGAACAGCCACAGGCATTAGAAAATGAGGCTGGGGCAATGAGGGCTTTACAATCACAGGAACAGTGTGAGCTTTCCCTGGAGTGGATCTGTCGGGGAAGCAGGGAAATGACCAGGGACTGAGGGAAGGAGACAGGCAGATGGGGCAAGGCAGATCTGGAGTGATGTATAAAATGGGTCCAATACAACTGGCAAGCTGAATCTATTCTGACGAGCTCTGTCCACAAATAAAGAAGAATATTTTCCCCAGGATTTAGTCATATGCAAAAATTATCAAAGTATTTGTTGAATCTTCCAAAATGGCATCTCCTAAACAACTCTCTGCATTAAGTGAAGAATTTATGTAATTGTAGCTGGGGTTTGCCTGCTATTATTTCAAATATGTGATCCATGTGATCAAGACCCCCTCACAAGAAAAAACAGAGATAACTGAGTTATTCACCCATGACCACAAGGCTTGAATGTGGTAGAAACTATTGGTAGAAATTATTGGTTGAATGAATGACAGTGAATAGTCAGCCAATTAGCCCAAGGCATCGACTCCATCAGCCACACCCTCATCCCAGCTCTGCCTGGTTTTACTGAATATGATGAAGACATTATGGAGGTAACTTCATCCTAAAAAGAATATTCGCAGTCTAACAGTGGCATTTCTAGTCTCACGCTGTAGTGCAGATAGAGTCCGATATTTCCAGTGGGGCTCGGATTACCTCCCTAGTCCCTTGGCAAAGTTGCTTCTTTAATTGCCACATCTTGAATAGTAATTGTGGCATCAGAATATTAGTAGGGAAACATTGTTTATATATAGGCTAAGTAGTCTTTACCTGAAGTGCTGGGACCAGAAGTGTCCCAGATTTTGAACTTTTTTGGATGTTGGAATATCTGTATATACATAATGAGACATCTTAGGGAAGGGACCCAAGTCTAAACACAAAATTCATTTTTGTCTCATTATATACCTAATACACACAGCCAGAAGGCAATTTTATACAGTATTTTTAATAATTGTAAATAATTGTATGCATGAAGCAAAGGTTTGGCTTTATTTTGACTGTGACCTGTCATAAGTGGTCAGGTATAGAATTTTCTACTTATGGCTCATATTGGCATTCAAAAAGTTTCGGATTTTGAGCATTTCAGATTTCAGATTTTTGGATTAGGGATGCTCAACCTGCATTATACACCTTTCTATAGAGTCCCTATAGTCCCACGTAATTGATTTTCATCAACCAATGAACAATTTCAAAACTTTTTTTCGGGATATTTTCTCAGTATCTTTTCTGGTTTGTGAAGTCTTTTACTACAGCTCAGCATAGGAAATATAGCATAAATATTGATCATAGTTTCCCATTTAAAGTGATAGTATCTGACAATATTAATTATATGGGCACTTTTTTATTTTTTTTTTACCATTTCCTGTTTATTTTTTTTTTTAAACAGACTAAAAGTTGGCATAGTTACCTGGCAAAGGATAATTAATTCCAATACTTAATTAGAGATGAGGCATTCCAGTAGGTAACCTCTTCCTCACATTCCCTGGTATGTTTCTCTGTTTTTCTTTTTTTTCTTTCTTTTTTTTATTATTATTATACTTTAAGTTCTAGGGTACATGGTGCACAACATGCAGGTTTGTTACATAGGTATACATGTGCCATGTTGGTTTGCTGAACCCATCAACTCGTCATTTACATTAGGTATTTCTCCTAATGCTATCTCTCCCCCAGACCCTCACCCGCCAGCAGGCCCCAGTGTGTGATGTTCCCCACTCTGTGTCCATGTGTTCTCATTGTTCAACTCCCACCTACGAGTGAGAACATGTGGTGTTTGGTTTTCTGTCCTTGTGATAGTTTGCTTAGAATGATGGTTTCCAGCTTCATCCATGTCCCTGCAAAGGACATGAACTCATCTTTTTTATGGCTGCGTAGTATTCTGTGGTGTAGAGGTATGGGCACCATTTTTAATATGCCAGCAGTCCTCACTTTGTATGGTAGTTTGAGACCATGAAAAAAGATCTTACAAGCTGAAATCATGCAAAGCAATCTTAATAATGAAGAAGAAAAAATATGATGGTCCCATGACACATAAAAATTTCTGTCAAAATGTTAAAAACTCCCTTACTCTAAGTCATAAATGCATAATAAAGTGAAAAATAGTAAAACTAATATTTACCTAGTATACCATAATTAAAAACATTAGAAATATTTATGTTTTATTCCTTTGTCAAAACTCATTATGATATAACAGTACTTGCCTTCTTCTCACATACACATAAGCATCTTTTCTATGTCTTGATAAATTACCCCTCCTAAGGATAGAGCAGCTTCCAACCTTTGTAAATGATAGCTTCCTATCTCTTGTGATGCCAATGTTGTGAAGTATCTCTGAAAGTTATTTTAATGTAAAATTTTTTGCTAATGTCACTTTGTGGGGAGATGTTTATCCTTTTCATCACAACCACTTCCCTCATTGATGTCAATAAGTTTTCTTTCACTAAGTTCCCCGGGCTGCATACTGAAAGTCTCTTGAACAGTAACAGTATCAACAGTCTGTCAGTCAGTTATTTCTTCTATAACTCCACTTAAGTTTGATTTGAATTTCACGTCCAAGATGACCACTTCTCATTTCTCTGCTACAATTTTATCTTTGTTGGATGATTCCCTCTTTTCATTGTCTATTTTTGTAAAATGCCACATGGGTTCATCAGTCTCCCAAACCATGCATCTGCCCCTCTGAGGGTGTCTTGTTTACGACTTTATGTCTAGTATGCAGCATGGTGAGTATGCAATAAATATTTGGTGAGTGAAAAGAAAAAAGATAAGGAGGCAATGCAACTAGACACTTTACTGTCTGCGCATGAGCTGAATAACAGATCCTCTGAGACAAATCACTGACAGATTTTGAAAGAAATGATGTGCTTGGTCACTGATCATAATGCATACCTGTTATTTACATAGTGATTGGTAGACTGAAGAGCCAGCCTCAACGTTTCTACTTTATGCAATTATTCACAGTTAATATGCCATAGTGAATGAAATTTGAACTATATTTTTGGGAGGCTGCTGTTGATTAAGTAAGCCATGGTAACTGAAACTTATTCATATAGAATCTTGCAAAGTAGGGACCGCCTATATTTGATATCCAATGGTTTCTGGACTTGGTATGAGAACCTAGCTAACCAACATATGATGAAAGGAATCTGTGTCCATCTTGGCCAAGGGGTACCTGAATGAGAACATATTTGATTTCTTATACATATAATGTGTATATCCACCTCCTAGGGACTATGCCTAAACTCATGGATTACAACGGTTAAGTGTATATCTTTTGAAATCTGATTGAACTGAGTTCAAATGTTATTTAATCTCTCACAAACTCAGTTTCCTCACATGTAAAAGCCTATCTCAAATAATTGTTGTGAGTACTGAGAGATAATATAAGCAAGAACACAAGTGTAATATTGTTAGCACAGGGTCTGGCTTGTAGGAGGGTTCATTAAATGGTATTTTTAGTAGTAGAAGTGCTGATGGTGGTCATGCCATGGTGATGCAGTGTTGGATACCCAAAAGAGGAATGGAATACTGGACTTTAAAAAATAATAGAACTGAAGTACATAATTGAAATCCTTGAGCTTCCCAGAAGGTTATTATGGCACAGATTTATAATGAACTCATAGAACATTGACTCTGAAAATCTAGAACTTTAAATAGGTTAAAATGCCTCCAGTTCAGGGAAAAATGAGCAAATAAGCTTTGATATCTATCCATGCCAAGTCATAGTGCCAAAAAGCATTTATGTCTCCATTGTGAGCTTTATCCAACATCCATTTACCAGTTCCTGGTTTGCAAATCCAATTGCTCTAGAATAGCAATTTGAACATCAAAATTGGCAATATTTTAAGCTTGATACATTAGAGCTGCTAGCATGATGGCACAATTGTAGGAAAGAGTTCAGCTTGCCCATTGCAAAAGCTTCCCATGAATTTACCTTTGAGCAGCTTGACTTTTGTTAACCATCTGAATGCCATATACATTTAGGAAATTTGAAGGGACAATATCCTAATTAGGGACAAGTTAAATTTACTTACACTGAATTATAAAAAAGGCTAGTGTTAATCAAACAATTGAAAAGTCTTTGACCTTTACAATTGTATTTCCTAAATTGTGTTCTGTGGAGCATCAGTACTCCTTGTGATAGTAATATATATTCCACACAAAAAAAGAGAAGGAGGAGTTTCATCGTCATGAATCTAGAGATTCATAATGGTTCATTAGCAAGCTAAAGACAGCATTTCTGCAGAAAAAAAATCAAATGTGGCTAATCACATTTCCCAAATATATTGAGCCTAAAAAACTAAAGCCAAACAAGACAAAAACTATTACTTTCTCACAGAATACAGTGTTGCATGTAACAGTTTTGAAAAGCCTCAGAAAAAGTATAAATGAAATTGGGGTTCAAACCATTACCAGATTCACATCTTGAGACACAGAGGATATTTTAATAGTATTTCTGCACTATGTCCTTGACCATCTATGCATTTGGAAATAAAGTTCAGGTAACTTTCAGCAGCATTCACAAAATTATTCACAAATTTGCCTAAAATGTCTTATTCTGACACAAATTCTCCTTCCCTCCATTCCACTGCATTCCCCACACTGGACCATGCTGTGTTCCTAGAGAACCACTTTTCTCATTGGATAGAGTTCCTTGCTCAGTCATCTTAACTGGTCCCCTAATTCAGTTTGTCAACAACAACAAAACATTTTCAATTCCTCTGATAAACTCCTGGTTCTGTGTTGAGAGAAACGCAAATGATATGTAAGCTCTGGTACTTGGCCTTAAGGGTCTTACAGTTTAGTAGGAGAAGCAAAATTGACAAATGTAAAGCAGTTAAAAATAACTCCAGAAGTTTTCAAACAGGCGAAAAAGTCAACATGGACTGAGATAACTGGAGAAGGCTTGGTGGAGAAAATGGACTTGAGCACATGAATAGGATTTAGAAAAGTGTGGAGGAAGAGGGGAGATTTCAAAGAAGTAAGCATGAGCAAAGTCAAATGGCAGGAAGAAGTATTTGGATTTGGGAGGATATAGAGGGAAAAAAGGTATACAAATCTGACTGGAGTGGAACATTGATGGTGTGTGTGGAAAGAAATAAGATAGGCTAAATACAATGGGCTCTCCACAGTGGACAATCCTGACTGTCACATTAAGGAGTTGGATTTGTTTTGTTAAGTAGGAGGACATGGTGATTAAGGATGAGATACAAATTTGAGCCTGGTCATACAATACTCAAATGAATCTTCTAGAAAGATTAGTCTTGAATCTCACATAGAGAGGTTTAAGACAGAGAGAAAGATGCCAAAGGCCAGGATGGAAGTTAGAATGCTTCTGAGGTAATCCATGTGTTGAGGCTCTTGACAGGGAGGGATAAACAGGAATAAAGAAGGAAATGTAAATCCAAAAATTTGAAGGCACACATGAGAAGATTTTGCACAAGAAAAAGGTAGAGTTGGACACAATCCCCAAAGTTTTTAGTCTAGGACATGAATGATTCTAAGAACCAAGTTTTGGGGGAAGAAAATAAACATTTACTAAATAGTGAATGAAAAAGATTTTTTCCATGGCTTTCTAGTCTATTCATCCATAATTTACTTCCAATCTACATATCCTATGTTATCTTCCACTACCTATTTATTAATTCAACAATGACTTTATAAATTGTATGCCAAGCAATATTCTAGGCACTGGAGAAATAAAAATATGTAGTACAGTTTGAGGCAAAAGTTGGAGATGGGTAATGGGTATGTAAATGAACAATTATAAAATTTGAAATTTCTGTGTATGTTTCCTACTTTCCTATTTTCAGATTAGAGGGGATAGATGCTAATATTAATTGAGCTCTTACTATACACCAGGACTTTTTAGAGTCATCTAACTTAATTTCTACACCAACACAAAGAAGTAGATATTGTTATTCTCATTTTTCTTTATCAAAATCACCACCTGTTAGCTTCCCTCTATACAGAACCCCTGAGGATGCCCACAATGTGAAAGAATCCAAGCCCCTGAAAAATATTGCTTTCTATCTTGACATAACTACCAAGGCGCCTGGACTGATGGCAGGGACCCTTCACTGTGAAAAAAACAAGACTTGTCAAGCCCTTTAAAGCTTCAAAAATTCTACCCCAGTTCCAAGACCGACTGACCAGATTTTATGGATTTTAACACTTTTTTATATATTTCAACATCTTGAAGTTGGAATGCATCTTAGAGTCAAAAAGATAACCTATTCCTCTGGCAAAGAAGGGTCCCTTTCATCCATCCAGGTGCCGCTGGTATCTGTGTCTAGAGAAAAAGCAATGTCTTGCGTCATGGAAACTGTTAATTTTGTGCTACACTTTTTGTGCTGTTTTCCCATCACAGAGGTTGCTATCTGTATCCAAAATTAGTTGTTTCATTAATTATTTTTAAAAATCACCCACAAAACAACACTGGAGGATTTCATTTCCAATCCACATTTTATTATCATCTTTAATTTAAAGTGCAAGCAGGAAAATTATTTCCTTAACAAGTGAGAATTATTCTTCAAATATTAAATATTACTTTTGGAAAAGTATTATAATTATTGTGTCATTAGTTTTTTTGTTACTTTTATAGTGTGTTTCTTTACCACGATTTGCTCATAAAATTAATGAAAAGGTAGCCATCTGTAATTAGACCTTCTCTCCAGATATAAAATAAAATCAGTACATTGTGACCAAAACCAATTTAACCCCAAAAGTTTCATTTCAAACAAAGTGAGAAATAAATATTAGCAATTCTTGACTCTGGGAAGTGTCAGACTACAATGAGCCTAAGACTGGAGTAGCAGCTTGACACATGAACATTTTACGACAGGTAGCCAACTCAGCTCTTTAGGTTTTGTCCTGCTGCCAGTGTTTTTGCTTGGCATGACTTCAAGGGCCTTATGTGTTCAACCCAAGGCAGCCCCCTTCAGGATACATGAGCCAAGCTAACTGCATGCAAACCAGGCTGGGTCTTGGAATCAGTTTACATGGGCATGTTGTCAGAGAAAGATGTTTATGTGTGTGAGAGTCTTAAAGGGCTGAATAGAAAGATCAGAAGCAAGGTTAAGCAGAATGGGGCTGGGAAGAATTCCACACGTCCTTAGAGGACAGGCAGGGGATAAAAGAAGGTACAGTAGGGAGGCAAAAACAGAAGTGCATTCTTCACAGTCTGGCTGGCAAGCCCCGCAACAGTGCCATTCTTCAAACAAAACCTCCCTTGGCCTCAGATTCTCCACTGGTCATGCCAGCTCTATTGATTTACACAAAGCCTTCAAGGCTTTGATCAGCTACCAAATTGCAAACATTTTAAGCAATGCTCCAAACATGTAAAAGTTTAAAACAGTCCATTAACAATCTCATGTAGAAATGTGTATACATATATGATCATCCATGCATGGTTCTATGCACAAGAATATTTTTACACAGTCTATTAACAATGCCACATATTTATCACACATATTCACTTCAAGTCCAAGGAAACGTCATTTGCAAATGTAAAGTCAAAAATACAAAACTAAACTCTTCTCTCATTGAACCTCACACTCAACCCCCCACTCAAAGAGTGAAAAAAGAAATTATACTCCATCCACCCATCAGACATGAAAAGGGTGATTTATAGTTGTGTTTATTCAGACCATAAATTATTTCACAAAGTAGGATTTTAGGATGTGAATTAATCACATAATTTTAGAGGCCACAAACATTCAAATGATCATTTCCAACTTTTTACTTCTTATTGACTGTTCTATACTTTTAGAGGCCTCAAACATTCAAATGACATTTCCAAATTTTTTACTTTTATTGACTGTCCAAGTGCTTGTCAATCTGATAAATGCCTGGTACATTATAACAATCAAATGGCTTCTAAAAATAATGCCCCATTACACATGTCAAATGCCAACCTCTGTGGACCTCTGGCTGCACACTGAGAGTCTCCTGTACTAACAAGAGTAACAGTGTGAACAGTCTCTCCAGTCAGTTATTCCTTCTAAAACTCCACTTAAGTTTGATTTGAATTTTATGTCCAAGATGATCACTTTTCATTTCTCTGCTCAATTTTATCTTTGTTGGCTGATTCCCTCTTTTCATTATCTATTTTTGTAAAATGCCACATGGGTGGACCCTGAGATCTTGCTCAACCTGAAACATTGACTCAGTATGCTAGCTTTAGAGAGCAACTGGCAAGATTTCTACCTATGAAATAGGCAGCCAGGAGGTTTAACGGTATGGCTCCTGTACTTTAAAGAAATTACTAAATAATATTTTTCTGCCTGAGTCATTTGGATTCTATTTCTGGACTTTGTGAGTATGAAGAGATCCATTTCATAAAAATATGCACTTCATCCATTCTAATAGAATAAGAGGACCTGGCTCCAAACTACTACTTTAAAAAACAAAAACAAGCAAACAAAAACCATTGACTCACAGGTCCAGAGATAAGTTTCCCTTAACAAAGTCATTATGAATATACAAGCTATTATAGGTTACAATCATGACCAAAGCTGACTTTCAGCTAAGACTTCTTCTAGCTAGAAAGGCAGCAGGACAGCAGTTTCCTAAGTTACAGTGGTACATGAGCCTGAGGAGACAGCAGAACTGCCTGAGGCAAGAGGCAGCAGAATTTCAGTTCTTCAGTCCCCAAAAGAATTCCAAACACTGTTCTATCTCAGTAATTTCTAGCCTTTAAATTCTGATTGATCCTGAGCCCAGTGTTTTCTACACTGAAGTTCAAGCTGAAGAGGTGCTACAAAATTTTAAAACACATAGCATCTCTGGGCTACGAATAACACAGGCCTTTCCCAACTCTACTAAATAAATTCCTTCTGGAATGAGTCAAGCCCTCTCTGAAACCCACATGAAAGAGAAGTATCCTCCAGATTCATAAACACTAAAGATTCAACCATGATCTTCCCTTTGTGGGTTGAAACTCCCCTAGCCTGATTGGCCAAACGAGGCTCCCCACTCACTCTCTTCCTGCCAGCTCAGCAAACTTCCTCAAAGCTACCTTCCTTTTATTCTGTATCTTCTTATGCTATTACCAATGTTTCGGAGAAAAGTAAAGTTCACAATGTGTGCCACCCTGGCCCCCACCGCCCACTTCATTTTACAAAGCCTTCCCATACTAAGTTTAAACAAAGTATAATGAAGTATTTTGTTCTTCTATTTAATCAACAATTTATTCAAGCCCTCTTAAAAATATATGACCAGAGAGAGCCATGGAGAAAGGCAGTGCTATAGAGGGGCTGAAGATGCCAGCCCTGGAGTCAGGCAAATCTGGGTTAACTGCGACTCGGCTCCTACTAGCTGGGGGGGGGCTCTGGGCATGCACTGTCTGCTCAAGCTCCTGTGTTTTCATCTACAAAATGTGCAGGAAGTAACTTGCAGAATTGGGGCAGATTAAATGAAACACAGTGTGTAAAGAAGGAGTCTAGCCCATGTCCCTTCTCATGACTGTGGAACACAGAAACCTTGAAACTGCCTCAAACAGACGAATATGTATAAGACGAGAGGTTACCCACCGTTGCTTAGTTAAATTGCCTGGGTTAGAATCACAGCTCCATCACTTATAATCTGGAAGACCTCTATATTCCTCAACTTCCTCATCTTCCTCATCTCTAAAATGTAGCTCATCATAGTACCCACCTTATAAAGTTGTTGAGAGAATGGAATGAGAGAGTGCTGGGAAGATGCTTAACCAAGTACTACCACATTGTTGTGGTCGTCTGTCCATGTATGCAGGATGACTTTAAAAATATTAACTGAGTTTCTTTATTGTAGAGAGGCTGGAAGTTACTGAGATAGAACAGTGTTTGAAATTCTTTTGGGGACTAAAGAACTGAAGACTAAAAGCATGAACACAGAGCACAACTGGTCACTAAGGTATTTACGGCCTAATGAAAAGGTGTTGGAACAGGGGACACAGCACTGTCAGCCTAAGGTACCAAGAGTTGCAAGTGAAGTGTTCATTGTGTAATCTCCCTTAGATTAATTGATCAATGTCTGTCTATGTGTATAGGGTGACTTTAAAAATATTAACTGAATTTCTTTCTGTTTTCTCCAATGGAGATTCACTCTTGTCACTTATTCTTCCCAGAAGATATTTAAAATAATCTTAAATGAGAATGTGATTCATCCCTACATTTTTTAAAAGTACATCTGAGTTCTACACTGACTACAGCCTGATGCAGTCAGGGACTGGACATCACTGAATCCTGTCCAGCTGATTTGCCAACTCCTCTGCCATCACCAGCCTCACTCATTTGGCCACAGCAGTTACAGTTCCGAAACACAGCTGATTCCTATGCCCAAATTCTTGCAATTTTAATAACCTGAACAACTGATTTTATTACAATGTCAGGTATGACACAAAAGATAACATGTAAATTTTGAAGTTTAAAAGCTGTCTCCAGTCACTGTGGCTGGCTCCTGTAATCCCAGCATTTTGGGAGGCCAATGTGGGAGGATCACTTGAGGCCAGGAGCTCAAGACAAGCCTGGGCAACATAGCAAGACCCTGTCTCTACAAAAAATTAAAAAATCAGCTGAGTGTGGTGGTGCACACCTGTAGTCCCAGCTACTCAGCTTGATGAGGCAGGAGGATCACTTGAGCCCAGGAGTTCAAGGCTGCAGTGAGCTGTGATTGCACCACTACACTCCAGCTTGGGCAACAGAGCAAGACATTGTCTCAATAAATAGATAAATAAAATAAAACTGCCCCAAAAATATGCAAAATGAGTTTATATCTAATCCCATTTCTAATCTGCAGCAAATACTGTGACCTTATTCAAGTCTTTCCGTCTCTGAGCATTACTTTTCTCCTACAAGAAATGAAGGGGTAGACTTCTAGACCTAAGCTCTGAAATACTATTGTGCACGATTCCATTCTCCCTAACCCCAGCAACGAAGAAATAAGGCACACATTTCTGGTTTGGATTTGACCTCCTTGTGTCCTGCTTAGTCTGGAAAAGGCAGTACAGGCACACCTCAAATATATCGCAGGTTTGGTTCCAGACCACCACAATAAAACAAAGATAGCAATAAAGCAAGTCACACAAATTTTTTGGTTTCCCAGTGTGTGTAAAGTTATGTTGACAATATACTATAGTCTGTTAAGTGTGAAATAGCATGATGTCTAAAAAACAATGTGCATACCTTCATTTTAAAATACTTTATTGCCAAATGTGTAAAAAGCACAACAGCTGTGAAGCATGATAAAGTGAAGCTCAATAAAACAAGTTATGTCTGTGTAGCACTGTGTGTGGCACATGGCTCCAGTGCCAGGTTGCCCAGGTTTGAGTCTGAGTTCTGCTCCTACTCTCTCCACCTGCAAGCTCAGCAGGATCCAGCAGTCAGACAGAGAAGCCAGTTGCTAGAGATGGGAAGTGGTAAGAGCAGTGGAGGAAAGAAGGGTGAGTGCAGAGGGCAGAGGATCGGACACACACAGTTGTGCTACATACCTCGTGGGGTTGGTGTGAGAATAAAATAAGTCAATATACAAAGAGGATAGAGTAGTGCCTGGCACAGACTGAGGGCTACTTAAGTTTTAGCTATTATTATCGGGACATAACACAAACACTCAATAAATGTTCACTGTGCTGAAATGAACATCAGCTATGAGCCAGGCACTTGACATATGTTGTGCATTTCATTCTCGCAACCCTGAGAAGAAGAAATTATTCCCATTGTATATATAATAAATCAGAAAATAGACTCAGGGAGGTACAATAATAGATTGAAGAGGAAGAATAAACTGGCATTCAATGCCAAGATGCATGCTAAAATGCAGCATTGTCTGATAACAAAATACATATTAAATATTATTTTCCATATAATAAACAATATAGAAAGAATGAACCCTTTCACTTTCACTCTAATATTGGGCATCACTTCAGGAAATTGTGAATAAAGTTTGTTTACCTATTTTTACATGAACCTTGAAGTCTCCAAGAATATCCTCATGAATCTACTAGGAACAGGAATCTAGGCTAACATGATCACTTAAATCCATCATAGAATTAAATCAACGTTATTCTCTTATGATCAAAGTTCCTTGGGTTAAAGTAATAGAAACATCAAACTTGCTTAAGCAAAAAAGGAGGATTTATTTTAAGAAAACAGAGTCAGAGAACCCCAGGGAGAGAATGTGGCCAGGTCTCAAAGGACTAGACGCGGAGCCTGGAATGCTGGCAAGAAGGCAGCTACCACTCTCGGGCTCTCTCTCCTATAGGGCGTTACAGTCTCCATCACCCCTCTTTACTGATCAACTTTCTCTGCGTCTCTATGCTCCTTATATCATCATCCACAGCTCCTTACTCAGAACATTCGTGCAACTGACCCAGGCTGAGATTAGCATCTGTCAGTCCCAATTCAGAGTTCTCAGAGTAACTATATAGAATAGGCATTCCAAGATCTCCCTCTCTCTCTCTCTCTCTCTCTCTCACACACACACACACACACACACACACACACACACACACACAAAACCTAGACAGCACCCTGAGCCTCTAGCAAAATGAATTGCTGCTACTTTGTTACATCTCTACCCATTTTGTCATCAGAATACTCAGGAAAGTCTGAGCGTACTCAAAGGACAGTCCAGTTCTCAGGCATGTACAGCCAATAGAGAAACTGGGGGGGAGATTTTGAAATTGGACGCATCTGAGCTGCCAGAAAATTGCCTAGAAGCAGCAGCTGAGCAGTGGCTGAGAGTGGGCCTTGATGTGATACTTAATCAGATGATGATGAGGGAGGGGCCCTGCCAGCCAACAAACCAGCCGCCCGCCAGGAGCCCCGGGAATAGGGAGCAGTCTGCTGTAGAATTCTCTCACAATGGCCTGGCAGAAATGGATGGTCCACACAAGGAAGGATCAATTGTAAAAAGTGGAATTAGTCATTCTAAATCATGCAGCTGTGGTCGAAGGGAGCTCTTCTAAAAATCATTAAACAATCATGTATTCCTATTGATTTATTCAAAATACCTTGAGGGAAAGCAGATTAAACACAAGGTAAAAGTAAGCTAATGCAGATTAAATGGATGAAGGATGGGCCGAGAGTTCCCTAGGTAGTTTTTGTACTAATGAGAGGAAAATTATATGTACACTATTACCAGGATAAAAGGGTCTATTAGAGGTCTTTTGCTTGACATATTTATGTATTTCAAATACTAAGTAGCATAGTGAATTAGGTTTACTCTGGACATTTGTTATTTTTATTGCATCTCCAAAGTGATAAACAGAGTTCTCTGTTGAGGCAGCATGCTGCCTCACTCCAGGAAGCCCTGCCTGAATAGACAAATCCTGATGCCAGAGCTGTTCCCTGGATGTCATTTATTAACAAACCCAGTGCAGTTGGACTGCAAAGACCAGGCCTTTAAAGTCCAAGAGCAACATGCATAACCCAGAGGTAGGAAGAAGCTGCAGTGCTTATGGTGTCTGTTCCCTAGGCCACATTTACAGATGGCCTTTCTTCTTCCAGTGGAGTCTTTCCAAACACCTTATCACATAAGGAAACCAGAAATGTGATGCCTATGTTATCCACATATTCTGGCATGTGTGGTAATTACAGCAGGTGTTATGATCCTCAGAGAAAGAAATGGAAGCAGAGAAATCATAAGTGAGGAGCCCAAGGGCATGCAACTAGTGAGAATTGGAATCAAGACCTCAAATATTTCTGTTCCCTTGTTCAGGGGCTTCCAGCTATACTGTTTACTAGTGAAATTTGCACTCGTGGACTACAATCTTACAAAAAGTCCTATTGTCACTCAACTCCTTGGATGTTTAAAACCAGACTCACTGCTCTCCCCAGACCAATTCCATCCTCCACACTCCTCACTACCACTACCATCCCCACTTCAGTCAACTAGGAAATTACATCATTCTCCCATCATCCCTCTAGACCAAAGTAATAAAATTCCACCTGATGTTCTTACTCTCATTCTTAGCTCCCTGATAGCCATTCAGCACCCGAATTCCAGCTTAATCTTTCTAAAATATTGCTTTCATTATACTAATCCCTATCCATAAAAGCTACAGAAGTAAGGTGGCAAGTATCCACATTTCTCTTTTACCTGGTTTGGAAAGGCGTCATGGAAGGCTGACATTTGAGCTGGTTTTAAGAGAGATCACTTATAAAGGAGGCACTTGTGGTTGATAGAGCCTGCGATGGCCTCAATCATCAGTGGGTGGATTAAAAGGAATGCCAAGAAGGTTGCAAGCTTAGAGCAGAAACTGGAAGCTCGGGAGGAAAGGCAGATTAACCAGATGGTATGCAAGCTGAAAAGAGTGTAAGAGTGAAGACCTCGGTGTTAATGAAGACCCACGCAATGTGGGTGACATTGGCAAAATCCAGCTACAACCAACGGAAACATTAAGCTCACTGTATTCCACAGTAATGACTTTAGTCAGTAACTATAAAGGCACAGCAATGGCTCTCAACTGTACAAATACCCAAACCTCTACATCAAAAATCTCCAGGAGAGGGATCCATGAATGTGTAGTTTTAGAAAGTGCCACACATTTTGATGTGTGACCAGGTTGAAAGCATCTATATACTGCATTAAACCTCATCTATTAGCCATCTATGTTTGGAAGGATTGCTTTACTATTAGACAAAACTCAATATTCCAGCTAAATCTTATACCTCCTTATGGACCCTCTATATGTCTTCAAGTGGCTGTTCTTATCTACAGAACAGATATCATAATCATATGCCTGTGCATAGTCTGGCCAGAAAACTAGAGAAATGGTCTGTCTATTCTTGCTGCAGGAATAAATTTACATTTCTTGCCACCTGATTATGTTCTTTACATCTTCTACATGTTAGAGCCAAAAAAAAAAAAAAGCCTGCAATCTAAAACATTAATGACATCTTCCATTTTCATAGTACTTAAATTCCACAAATACATTCATTCATTTGGTCATCACTTCAGTCTATGGGAGAGGCAATGGGTTATATTCATTTCTAATTTGCTTGGGGAAATGGATCCTGCAATACTGAAAGACTTGCTTAAGGTCATATGAATAGGTAGTACCAGAACCTAGACTAGTAACCTTTCTTTGGAATTCTGTCATCTGATGTTATTTTGCATTACAGCATTGTCACCTTTAACAAGCTGGACAGAAGTCTGGAAGAAAAGACCCTAAACAATGATAAATGTTTTGAAGTATCCACAACCAGACTTCATCAAAAATGTAACACATTTTTGTTACAGATTAATAGCAATAGGATTTGACTCTCAATATAACATTTTGGTAAAGTATTAAAAAGGGTTAAAATCACAGGGTGCATGTATGTAGTAAGAACTGGTGGTATTATCCCTTTACTCATTTCTATCTCTGCTCTGTGCTTTTCAGATATCAGCAGCACTCACAGGCACATGGACAAACACACATGCACACATGCACAATGGCCATTGTACTAAAATTAACTTGGACAAATCCAAATAGTACAAGCAAAGGTCTAAGAAATGTCTGTTTGGTTAGAACTGCTTAAATACCACAGAACTCACAGGAAGAAAGCAGAAATACTGTCCACATATACATCATCAATGCTGGAAAATATAAATTGTAGTCCATTCTGGTCTGTTTCAGATAACATCCTATTGCCAAAATTACTAGATCATAATCTGTCTGCAGTCTAATCAAAAGAACAAATATGACTTCCTTTCCCATTGTGCAATTGGGGATGAGCTTCCAAATGACCCGCTTTAAGAAGAGGCATCAGAGACCGAGCTTTTTCACTCAGGAAGCCCTATCCAGTGTCTTTTGTTCTCCTTTTGCGGGTCATGGAGTGGGGGCAGTGTCACTATGGTCATGTAGGTCCAGGACAGGAAAAGTCTTTCTGCTTACTGAAAATGAGTTCTATTCACAACTGTGCTTTTCCAGAGTTTGGCTGTTCCCATTTTCTTGGACGCTGTTAGAGTTATAAAATAAACACTTCCAAGATTGTTTTCTTAAAAGTCAGTCCAACATAAAATAAAATGAAAGAACTTTTCTGAGTCTTCAGTTCAACATGGGTGCATTTAACCAGGAACATACCTTTTTCTTCCTCTCTTTGAACTTCTTCAGACTGATCTTTGTTTTTCAAAGTCTCAACACTGGCTCATTCCACTAGAGACCTCTGTTTGATGACTGGCTCCCTCCTAAACTCTGGGACCACATTTGGATATCAGTTATTTATTTAAGATCTGAATTCAGGCAAATACCAAGACAGGTGTTTAGGAACTTGAGCAGTAGTTGAGTAATTATAGAGCTTAAACCTAGAAGGAACATGGACATATGATCTAACCAGCAGCTTTCAAGCAGATAAGGCACAATTGTCCCATTTTACAACTGAGGCACCTGAGGTGTAGAAGAATTCAGTCATTTGCTAATAGATACACAGTTAGTTAAAGAAGAGGAGAGAAAGGAGAATGAGTTGAAAGAGAAGTGGATCCCAAATTGCCTCCTGCTTTTCTGTTGCACATAGAACAACTCGTGTCACCTGCTGCTGGTTTAATCAGTTTATAGCAAAGTGGTTAACAACTTGAATTCTAATTTAATCATATGGGCCTAAGTTTGAACCCTGTCTCTTCTCTCTACGGGGCTTGAGAAAGCTACTTTTTAGAAATAGAAAAGAAGTAGGATGCTACATATACGGTGTTTATCCCAGAGTCTAACACATGGTAAATGCTTTAAAATATTAGCTATTGTTTTAAATCAATCATTATAATCTGCCTGCCAAGGCTCCCTTTATAGCAATACTTGAAATCCTTTAATAATTTCAAGATGAGAAAAACAGACTTCCTTTAAACAGTCAAAAAGCAAAGGGAAAGAAGAACAGATCTTTTTATACAAGTGGGCATGAGTGCCCAATAAAATGAACCCACTGAGGTCCTGGCAGAGGGTCCAACAAGGCTTTACTTGATTTAAGGAGTGACATGACCATAGGTGGACTTAACATGTAACTCATAAAGTTTATTTGCAGAGTCCCTCATAGCATGGGCTTCTTCCAAAGCCTTGCCAGGGCCCCTAGCAATATGGTCAAGTGATACTTTGAAATTTTCTCTTAAAGAATACCTACTGAATTATATAAGCTTTAGGCCCCCAAAAGTTTGAATTTACTTCTGCAAATACTGATGTTTGCAACTCCTTGAAAACCAAACAAAGCCAAAGTTGACGTAACTGTGAGAAATGTCTTATTCATTTGGCTTCTCTGTTTTTCAGGTGCCTTAACACCAGCCCTTAAGTCCTGGAGAAAAAGGCCAAGTTACTGGTTAACACTACCATAAACTAGATGGTTCCTTCCAAGAGTATTAAAACCCATAGACTGGGCACAGGTCCAGGGGACCCTTCTGAGTTGTAGGTGAGGTACCTCAAACAATGATCTGAAGAATACATTTCAAAGTCCACTCAGAGACTTGAGGATGTGCCACTGGTTCACTTGGTGACTCCTATTGAGAAACTAAAATGGGACATCATGTGGAGCTTGATCAAAAAAGATGCTCCTTCCTGAATGCAAAGTGATTTTAAACTCCTCAAAAGAAAGCAACCTAGTGACACTGAATACACAAGACTTGTCCAGGTGGAACTACACCCAGACTTCTTGTTTCATCTTATATTCCTTCTTGTTGCCCTACTCTCTGACATCGTGGCTTGGTCATCATTTTCCGAGAAAGAACATAGAGGAGAAAGGGAAGAACTAAATATTTTGCTGAATTTTTCCAATGTGACCAAGTATTATGGTAGCACTTAATATATCATGTCATTTCATCATCACAATAACCCTCTGAAATACTACTGCATTTCTCAGATGAAGAAACACAGACTAAGAGAAACAGGAAAAGACAATGAGTGATGGAACCAAATCAGGTCTGCCACTGTGGGGTAGAGGAAGGCAAGAAGGTAAGAAAAAAGGGGAAGAGGAATAAAACAAGAAGAAGAAAGAAAAGAAGAAGAAGATAGGATGTGATCAAATTTCAAGAATGGTTTGCACCTCACTAGATCAATGGAATCCTGAGATCTAGAACTAATTCAGTAAGCTACTAAATTTCACTCCAGAAGTGTAGTGGATTCTCTAAATTGGTTAGACCTGAGTACAAATTCTGGTTCCACCTGCATAGTCTTGGGCAAGTTACCTCTCTAAGCTTCAACCCCTTTATAGGTAAATGGTATTAAAATAGTGCCTATGCATATGGTTGTTGAAGGATTAAATGTGTTCATACGTATAAAACAGTCCTTGTAACATAGTAAATATTAAGTGTTAGCAATTATTATAGAGAAATTCACATCTTGACTGTCTTTCCCTTTATCAATAATATTGCATATAAAAACTGATATAGGCCAGGCACTGTGGCTCACACTTATAATCCCGGCGCTTTGGGAGGCTGAAGCAGACAGATCAGTTGAGGCCAGGAATTCAAGACCAGCCTGCCTAACATGGCAAAACCCCATCTCTACTAAAGATACAAAAATTAACCAGGCATGGAGGCGCATACCTGTAATACCAGCTGCTCACAGGTTGAGGCACAAGAATCACTTGCACCTGGGAGACAGAGGCTGCAATGAGACAAGATTGTGCCACAACACTCCAGCCTAGATTACAAAGTGAGACTGTCTCAAAAAAAAAAAAAAAGAGTATTCTCTCTTTTTTTCTCTTTTCTGTCTACTTGCATATAATGCAAGTATTCCTTCATTAATTCACTCATCCTACAAATTTTAATATGCACATGCTAAGTGCTGGGAAGACAGCATGAAGAGGGCAGACTCAGTCCCTCCCTGCCTCCTCAGAACTCACAGTCTAAAGCAGTCTTTATTCCATCTAAAATGCAAAAAGAAAAATAGACTGTTTTTTATTAGTGTCATTCCAAATGGACTTCTTTATTATGACTTTAATTGCTTGTAAAGCACCTAGTAGATCTCTGCCCACTTCAAAAGGATCCTTGATAAGTATGCATAAGATAGCTCAGCAGGGTGCAAGCTGCATGCAATTATTTCTTAGTTAATCCCTTTATAGATGAGTCTACTTGTGAAGTGTCAGGATAGAGTACCTAACATGGGGGAAGAAAAGCCTCCATTCTTATTGGTTCATGTGTTTCATATTGCCTGGTGAGCCTCTGCTCTTCATTTTCAGGAAAGTGTCATTGAACAGACATCTTTGTGTCATCTAACATGTGTTTAGTGATTACTTTATCTGTAAGTAGTGAAGATCATACTAAAAGATTGCTCCCTCTGTCTAGTTAAAGCTGACAGCGTTGTCACTACTTCAGTGATAGATTCAATACCCCAGCTTCTTTTCATGAGTGTGTCTTATTCTATAGCCAAGAAATACAGATGGTTTGAGAACAGACAAAGCCTGCTGTAGCCAATGGATTCAATGTCACATTCTTAGAGTTAATATCAGACAAGGAAGGTTTATTTAAAGTTTGTTTTTCCTTTATCCTATACCCCAGACCTTATTCTTTGCTTTCAATGTTGAAATGGTTAGTTGGGTCAACTACTTAATGCTAATTTTTTGAAGGTGTTTTCATGGAAGATGATTTGTCCTTTTCTCCTCCCTAATTCTTCTATCTTTTCCTGACAACACATGTTTATTCCAGTAATGGCATCTAGGGTAAATATTCCTATCTTAATGTGTAAGAATGATTCTAATGGTGGGAATTTCTAGCCAGGATAGATAGGAAATCTAATCATCAAGGAAATTATTTTGATAAATTGAGACTAAAAGAATTTCTTAAGTAACTAGGTATGTAGCTAGAGCTACTGATGATAACAGCAAAGAAAATATTTGAAAGGGGTATTGTTTTTATTCTGTATACCCCCTTCTTGTCTGGAATTAGTTGGAATCAAAGTGTTCTTCCTCAAAGACATTTTAATGGCCCGTCCTATTTGAAGGTGAGGACAATGCTCAATTTCTGATATAAGCTAGCCTATCACACAGTTCCTTTTGGTTGCTGAAAGGGCAATTCTTGACACTGGCATTCATTGATTTTGATTTTTCTGCTAAGCTTTCATTCCATCATTTTTTTCCCACCTTGAAAAAAAAAATAATCCTGAGCTACATTAAGATGAACAAGATCTTAGCAAATAAATGTACTAGAAAAAAGCCAGGACCTCAGTAGAATTATGTACCTGGTACTAAGAGGGAAGGAGACAAGGAGTTTGCTGAAGCAGTTGGAATAGAGAATAGGAATGGTCAGTCAACCAATCAGCAATGAACAATGAAAAGGTCAAGCTACTTTTGAACATTACCGTGTCTTTCACAGGCTAAAGTGAGCATTAAAATTCTGAAGTCTTGCTTGCTTCCCAAAGTTTAGCAAGAAGAGAAAATGGCACACCAAGACTGTACAATATTTAGAAATGGTTTGAACATCTGGCGGTAAATATGAGGTCACCTTTGGAGCACTGCCGTCAACCTGGTCACGCTCGCCATCCCCACCCCACCCCCAGTCCTTGCGTCTCACTTCATGCATATCCATGGGGCAGCTGCCTGATTGGTAAATCAGACAGAATTCTTCAAAAGGCACCTGGGGGGCCGACAATCACAATAAATATTACAAGTTTGTCTTCACACAGACCTTTCTTCAGGAGGTCTTCTAGGCTAGCCAGTTTAATTGTTATGGCTGCTCTTTTTTCTCTCATGTGGGATTGATGAAGCGCAGTGGCTTCCCTGAGGTCACCCAGCAGGATGGGTTCACTACCAGAAGTTCCTATACTGCTTAGAGAATCAATGATGTTGCAGAATAGAGTTCTGTAGGAGCCAACAAAAATATGTCAGTGAGTTTTACAAAGGACTTTTTAATAAAACAGCAAAATCCACTTCTGTTCCAGGTCATTTCAGTGGGCTGTGCTATGTTATTTCAGTGGGCTTCCCCAACACCAAAAATCAACCAAATGGGAGCTAAATTTTGTAGTATTTGGTAGTATAAATAATCCCAAGTGGAGATTTAAAGACATCGAATTTTCTACATTTTAAAGACATCGAATTTTTCAAACAAGATCCACTTTACCATTTATGTTCTTTTTGAGTCAACGACAATCAATCTGCATTTTCCTAACATAGTGGTTCTAAATGGGGGTCAATTTTGCCTACAAAGAGGCATTGGGCAATGTCTAAAGACATTCATACTTATCACAACTTGTGGGGAGGGTGCTACTGAATCTAGGCTACAACTGTGCTAAACATTCTACAATGCACAGGACAGTACCCTACAACAAAGGATTATCTGGCCTAGTATGACAACAGTGCCAAAACTGAGATACCAAAAGCCTGGAAGCAGAGATGTGAATTGGAACAGAAAAGTCGTGTATGCAGTTTTTGGACCTTGATTCCCCAAATGTAGACATCAGGCAATGACTCCACTGTGACTCCCACCTTTGTAGTGAACCCTCCAATTTCTATTATTATACCTCTATTTGTATTTCTAAACAGTAGGTACACATATTTTTAGTTTTTAACCACGATAAAAAGAGAATCATGCTATATGTAATCTTTGGGGGCTTGCTTTTTGCTGCAAATTATATTGGTAAAATTTACATATTTTTTGTGTGCAGCTTTATTTAGTTTATTCATTTTTGCTGCTACATAACATTCCATTGTATGAAAGAACTACAGTTTACCTTGAGAGATATTCAAATTGCCTGCAGGAGTTTGCTATCGTGAATAGTCCTATGAACATCTTGTATAAAACCCAAAGTGTACATACATAGTTTTCTTTTTTCATATGTATAAAAATACAAAATACATGTAATATAATAGAATTATGCACACCTGGATATTATTATAACAATGATTAGCTCTATGTTGTAGGATTAGTAATTTTTTTCTTCTTTGTATTTTCTATTTTTTTCTACAATAAATATGTATCTTTTTGCAATAAGAAAAAAATGCTTTCTATAAGGCTGGGAGATTGGCATCATTGTTTTAAATTATAAGAGCATCCAAATGTGCATAAATATCTGTACATTTGTATGAGATGCTATTGTAAATTGCCTCATTAAGTTTAATTTACTCCAATCTACAGACTACTCATAATTTTGTTGTTTCACTTCACTTAAAACGAGACTTTACTTGGGCACATCTAGATAAACTCAATTTACGAATTTGCCCACACAATACGCAAAGTCAAAAGTAGACCTAAACTACATACAAACTAAAACCTAACAAAGGGTGAATTATGCCAAAATAGGTGTCCAAAAGCCAAAGAAGAATAGCTGTCTGCTCATTGAAGTCTTTATATATAATTAAAAACTTAATTTTTAGCAACAGAAAACATTTAGGACAACTTGCTTATTAACTGGAAACCTTGCAATTTATACCATAATGTATTCTAGGTGAAATAGACATTAACTATAAAAATAAAATTATAAAACCTAGAAAGAAATGTAATTTTTGTTTTCACTCCTCCCCCCAAAAAATCCACTAGAAACACTATGTAATTCTCAAGTTTGCAGTCTGACCATTCACAATTAAATCTGTTGATTATAAATTATAATCCATTGCCAGCCTATGTCAACAAAACCAAAATTCTCTGTGAACAGGTGATGGGCCGAGGGGTGATGCAGTCACCATTAGTTAGTTGTAATGTAGAGGGAGTCCCTTGTTTTGCCTTGCTGCTGCCTCCTATCCACAGACGAGGCAACAACTGACCTCAAAAGAAGAAACCTGGGATGAGGCTGTGTCCTCAAATATTAACCGAGAGAGACAATACAGAAAAGGTTCCAGCTATTCAAGTCCTTCTCCTCACTCTCATAAAAAGAAATATCACTGTTCTCTAAGTTTGTCCAAAAATTTACTGGTGGAAACCTGAATTAACTGTATTTTTTTCCTTTAATTTTCCACACCATTTTTCCTGAGCAGAGATAATATGAAAGCTTACCTTTCAATGCCAAAGGACATTTTCTTTTCTTTCTATGCTACAGAGCAAGCATCTCCTACTGTGAACAGCAGTTGGAATTGTGTGATCTGAAAGTTGAATAAGAAGTGTCATAGAATAAAAGATTAAAAAAAAAAGAGGTATTAGGGGATGCAGAAAGGAAGAGAGGAGAATAGCAATGCAACAAACTATGGCAACAATTAATCTCTAAACCCAAAAAGTTCCTCCTTCAAAGAAAATGCCAGTCCCACTGGACACCAGAAACTAGAGTGTAAGCTACTGTCAATGTGCCTTTTTTTTTTTTTTTTTTGTCGCTGGAGAGAACAACAGGCAGGTGGCAGGGTTCCTGCCCGTGCTTCTGCATGACATGGCCCCACTGTGCAGTCACATGCACAAAGGCAGACTCAGGCTGAAGAGTGGGGCAGGGCAGCTCATGCTGTTTGCCAGAGGTCTTAAGGGGATCTTCTATTTCATTCCCTAGTAATGCCCTTTTTGTTGACAAAAGTAAATTGATGATAGTCAAGAGGGAAGCATTTGGTGGAAAAAATTCTGTTGACCCTTCTCAGATTGAATTTGACCACAGAACAGGATACCAGCAGTTGCAGAAATGATAGATTATTGTAATGACTGCCAGAATGGCCTTTTGGCATGTTTAAATGGCAATAAATTTCACCAGGAAGAAGGCAATTTTACTACTTTAGAGCAGTAAGGAAACACGGTGTTTAAGGTGTAAATAAATCGTGGGTCATTAACAGCAAGCGTATTCTGTCCATGGTGCAATTCTCAATCAGTGGCTATTCATATTTAATTTAATTATGTGGATTTACTTAGCCAATTATGCTTTTTTGTTCCAGGTCACAGACTTCTCAGGCTGACAATTTTGCTCTCTTCCTGTCTCCCTTATGTCTATAAACACAGCCCTAGTTTCTCCCTCACTTTTCCTTCCACAGGTACATAAATACCATCGGGGAAGTTCAATGATACTAGCTCACTGAATAGCCTGCTGAGATTATTAAATTAGAGACTGATGTGCTATGTGGTCTTTTTCTTGGCTCCAAAATCCCCTCTGTCCCTCGCTCATTAATCTGGTTCAGTCCTTCACTGAACTCTGCCATTAAAGGAGGAGGCGGGAGAAAGAGGTGTGCAATGAAGTTTGACATTTTCTCAAAAATGATTGTATTAAAACCCACTTACATTTATAGCTCCATCTCATTTGAGAATGTTAATCAGTTGCAATTTCATCAAGGTAAAGGTATTGGGATCTAATCAAGTCAAAGACTTGCTCACATTGGTATGTATCGCACTTCTGAAGCATCACTTCAAAAGGTCATTTTTAAATACAGTAAAGCTGATAATTTAAAAAGTTCATTCATAATAACAATCTGCTTATGGACAGTTTAAAACATTTGGGCTCCATCTACTGTACTAGTTTCAGGCCAAATGCAGCTCACGTCAAGCTTGTGTAAGCTCTGACCCGAGCTGCAAAATTCAGGAGACATACTCCAAATCAGGCAGGTCAATAATGCTTTCCAGAACCCAATTAGTGCTGAACTTGGGTTGGCCAAACAAGCACAATCTCTCCAAAAGCCTAAATCTCATTTTATACTAAGCAAAGTGTGGAATGTCCTTCCCCAATCTGACTGAGAGGATAGTCTGAGTGATTAGTCCCAAGCCTCACTTAAGGGCAGGCACGTATATTTCTTTCTGCTTGATTCATGTTTCCTGGAATGTTTTTCCTGAGACCATACTGAAAAGCTTTTCTGTTTCTATAATTCTGTAAACTGCCAGGAACACACCAGTAGCTCCAACCAACTGTAGGCCAAAAACATCATCTTGTTTATCTGAGATCAGCCCTAGGAACTAATGAAACTCTGGGCAGCTAGTGGAAGGCACACAGATATGGGGGGCACTCACCACATTGAATTACCACCTATTTCAGAGTTCATGTGCTTGGCATCCCAGATGGAGACAGGAGAGATAATACAGAACGATACTAAAGACAACCATCAGAGGAAGTTTAATAAGGCAAAATTTGAGGAATTACATTGAATATTTAAGGTATTTATAGCAAGAGAAAAGAATCACTCATGTAAGAAGAGTTGGACGATTTCAGAAAATGATCTATTGATTGTGTTGTTTTACAGATGAACAAGTAGAAACCCCAAAAATCTGAGTGGATTTCTCTAGGCCGACAGAATTTGTTGACAAACTAAGACTAGAACAAAGACTTCTGACTCCTAATTCTGCTACTCCAACAAGCAGTATTCCAGGACGGACAAGCCACTGAGAGTGGAAAGCCAAACTGCTGGGGCACTCTGCAGCCCTGAGGAGCAGCTACCATTTGGGGCAGCAGAAACCTTAGAAAACCTGCAAGTGTCCTCACCTCACCCCTTCTCACTGAGGTCCTGGGCTGTGGTCACAATTCTTGAAAACAAATGTCCAGTGTGTTTGGGTTGCAAGGGTGGGAATGCCCAGTTTTCCGAGTCTACACATCGTTTTCAAGGCCCAGGTTCATCTTTATCATGACAGCCAGAGATAAAAAGAATACTGGGAAGGGCAGGGTATTTTTGGACTACAGGGCAAGGTTATCTGGCTCTGGCTGAGATAAATGGGAAGGGTCAGACCTTGCCAGTTTTCACTACAGTCAGTCAAGTTGACCACATGTGAGGAAGAGGGAATTTTTATAGAAGCTGTCAACATTTAAAAGCACATGGTCACATGTAGTGATAAGTCAAACCCCCTTTGTTTTTAATGGGCTTGCCTCCCAGCCTTACTTTTCCAAATGATGATAGCTTCATCTCTTAGTGTATAGTTAACTCTCCAGCTAGATCTATTCACAGTCAGGCAGACCAACAGAAAGTGTGTCCCTGGGCTCCTTCTTTGTTTACCATCTCCTGCTAACCTAATTCTAGATGAGCAAAAATGTCCCTGCACTGGGGGTAATCATGATGACAGGGAAGGTAATGTTGGTGACATGATGATGATGCTGATGCCAGCATATGAAGGTAGAGGTGAGCAGCTTTCTCTACCTACTGATGAAAGCTAAATTCTTAAAGCAAACAGCCACAGATACAATATAAATGAAGGAACTTGAGTCAATAAATGACTGTTTACTTCACATCATGAGTAAATATGGTGGCCTTATGACAAAAAAAAATTTCATTTTCTTTCTGTTTGATTTCTACTTCGTTGGCTTTATGATTTGCTTATTTTATCAGGTTGATCAGGCACAATTAGCATGTCTTTCTAACAAAGATTAATAACTCTTGAGCTCAACAAAGGGCAATTAGATGTGGGGTATATTACCCCACTACAGTGTGAAGAAGACTTATTCATTTGTTCTTGTGCTGTTAGTCATATGCTTGGTGTCACAGACACCCACCTACACTACAGCAGAGAGGGGGAAAAAACAGTTCATAAAAGTGTAGGGAAGAGATCCTTCAGCTTAGCACCAATGTCCTTTTATACAATGTTTCCGCAAAATGGTTGTTTGGAATCACCTCTGACAACATAACATTTTCTGAGCAATTAATACATGCTAGACCCTATGCCAAGTATTTATTTTAATCCTTGTATTAAGCCTATGAAATAGGTATGGAAGAAATTATTTCTTACTCACCCACAATAGCCATTCTCCCTTTTATCCTCAGCATTAGAACCCTAACTTTATTTATGATGGCAATATTGCTAACTTTAAAGGACTACATTGCTCAGCTTCCTTCACAAGCGGGAACAGCCATACAAAAAATTTCTAACCAATGAGATTTATGCAGAAATATTGTTTGGGATTTCAGAGATCGTTCCTTAAAGAAAGTTATCACTGCTTTTGCCCTTCCCCACCTCCTCCCTCCTTCTGTCTGAAGAGTAGATTCGATGGCTGAAGCTCCAGCAGCCATCTTGGACCTGGCATTAGGAAGATAGAAGAGAAAGACAGAAGGAGCCTAAAATGTTCTGATGACACTTCTTACAGACAGAAAATGTAAGGTTCCACCTTTCTTAAGCTACTGATTTTTTAGATTTTTTATTATATGTAACCTGACCTAATCCTAGTAAAATAGTCAATATTTTTATATAAAAATTGGGAAACTGAGGCTAATAAATGGCAGAGATGCAATTTGAACTCAGGTTGTCTGATTCTAGAGCCTGTATTGTTAATGCTATGTTGCTTGTAAGAGTCATTGCAATGGCACCCTCCTGCCATTACTCTTCATACTCTTCAGTACAGTACAGCCATTAAGGATTAATTTTAAATTTTCAAACCAACCTGGCTCTGCTCTATCTTATCTTAGACATTCACGTGTGTTGTTTCCTTTTACTGAAATGCACTTCTTTCTGTTCTTTGAACAGCACCTACTCAGATTTCAACTTCATTTAGGCATAATTTTCTCCAAAAAAATTTATCTGATCTTTCTAATATAGTTAAGTTTTCCTCCAATATACTCCCATAGTTCTGTCATCACTCAGCATTAATTAACTCCCAATAGACTATGAGGGAAGTTACTGTGTCTTTCTTGTTTGCTATTAGAGGGAACAGTGGCCAGTGGCCACACCATGCCAGGAATAGTGTTTGTCTTTACCAGCCAGAACAGAAAACCTAAAAATTCCTGCATTAGGTAGAGTACTCAGAAGCATCTTACCTTAGTAGTGAGGAATAATTAGCCCTAGACTAGGCATGGCTCTGTTCCTCCTAACAAATTGTGAAGACAAGACTCAAAGAGATCTAAACTGTCTCAGAATAAAGTTCAACAATGTGTTTATATCTGTCATCCAACCAAAGGTAACTAGGCCTACAAGGAAGCAGAAAAATATGACTTATAATGAAGAGAAAAATCAATCAATTGAAACAAACTCAGAACCAACACAGATTTTAGAATTTACAGGTGAGGGCATTAAAACAATGTTTATAATTATATTTCATAGATCCAAAATCTAAGTAGACACAAAGAAGATATTTTTTAAAGACCCAAGTTCAGCTTCTAGAGATTAAAACTACAATGTATGAGATAAAAATATAATAGATGGAATTAACAGTAGGTTAGATATTACCAAAGAAAATATTGGTGAACTTAAAGACATAGCAATATTGACTATTCAAAAAGAAATGCAAAGAGAAAAAGAATTCTTAAAAATGAAAGGCTGTCAGTGAGCTGTGAAATAACTTCAAGCAGTTTAACATATGTGTTATTCGAGGCCCCAAAAGAGAAGGAGAACAAAAAATAATTTGAAGAAATAATGGCTTTATTTTTCCAAATTTGGTGAAATCTATAAACCCATAGATACAAGAAGCTCAATGAACTCCCTAGCACATGAAACATGAAGAAAATACCAACTCATGTCATAGTTAAGTTATGCAAAACTTGTCATAAAGAGAGTCTTAAAGGCATCCAGAGGAAAATATGTCACCTTACATTCAGAGGAACAAAGATAAGGGTGACAGTGATTTTTTGCCAGAAACCATACAATGAAGAAGACAGCAATATCTGTACAGCACTGAAAGGAAAAGAAAAGAAAAGCTTTTAATCTAGAATTCTATTCCCAGCAAAAAAATATATATTTCAAAAATGAAGGTGAAACATGTTTTCATACATACAAAAGCTGAAAAAAAATTATCATTAGCAGAGTCACACTAAAAGAGATGTTAAGCAAAGTCCTTCAGACAGAAAGAAAATGATGCAGTTAGAAATATGGATCTACAACCATCAGATCTTTGACAAACCTGACAAAAACAAGAAATGGGGAAAGGATTCCCTATTTAATAAATGGTGCTGGGAAAACTGGCTAGCTATATGTAGAAAGCCGAAACTAGATCCCTTCCTTACACCTTATACAAAAATTAATTCAAGATGGATTAAAGACTTAAATGTTAGACCTAAAACCATAAAAACCCTAGAAGAAAACCTAGGCAATACCATTCAGGACATAGGCATGGGCAAGGACTTCATGTCAAAAACACCAAAAGCAATGGCAACAAAAGCCAAAATTGACAAATGGGATCTAATGAAACTAAAGAGCTTCCGCACAGCCAGCGAAACTACCATCAAAGTGAACAGACAACCTACAGAATGGGAGAAAATTTTTGCAATCTACCCATCCGACAAAGGGCTAATATCCAGAATCTACAAAGAACTTAAACAAATTTACAAGAAAAAACAACCCCATCAAAAAGTGGGCAAAACATATGAACAG
Source organism: Homo sapiens (assembly GCF_000001405.40). NCBI lineage: Eukaryota > Metazoa > Chordata > Mammalia > Primates > Hominidae > Homo > Homo sapiens. The sequence goes on from NC_000004.12 coordinate 84,423,988, forward strand.
ACACTTCTCAAAAGAAGACATTTATGCAGCCAACAGATACATGAAAAAATGCTCATCATCTCTGGCCATCAGAGAAATGCAAATCAAAACCACAATGTGATACCGTCTCACACCAGTTAGAATGGCGATCATTAAAAAGTCAGGAAACAACAGGTGCTGGAGAGGATGTGGAGAAATAGGAACACTTTTACACTGTTGGTGGGACTGTAAACTAGTTCAACCATTGTGGAAGACAGTATGGCGATTCCTCAAGGATCCAGAACTAGAAATACCATTTGACCCAGCCATCCCATTACTGGGTATATACCCAAAGGACTATAAATCATGCTGCTATAAAGACACATGCACACGAATGTTTATTGTGGCACTATTCACGATAGCAAAGACTTGAAACCAACCCAAATGTCCATCAATGATAGACTGGATTAAGAAAATGTGGCATATATACACCATGGAATACTATGCAGCCATAAAAAAGGATGGGTTCATGTTCTTTGTAGGGACATGGATGAAGCTGGAAACCGTCATTCTGAGCAAACTATCACAAGGACAGAAAACCAAATACTGCATGTTCTCACTCATAGGTGGGAATTGAACAATGAGAACACTTGGACATGGGATGGGGAACACCACACACTGGGGCCTGTCGTGGGATGGGGGGAGGGGGGAGGGATAGCATTAGGAGATATACCTAATGTAAATGACAAGTTAATGGGTGCAGCACACCAACATGACACATGTATACATATGTAACAAACCTTCACGCTGTGCACATGTACCCTAGAACTTAAAGTATAATATTAATTAAAAAATCAAAACTCTATAATAATCACAAAAAAAGAAATATGGATCTACACAAAGGAATAAAGTACACCAGAAATTGTAACTACATGTGTAGATATATAAAACTTTTTTATTATATAAATCTCTTTAAAAGATAGTTGTTTAAACAAACATAATGTGTTATGGGGTTTACAATATATGTATAAGTGAAAGTTCTGGCAACAATAGCATAAACAAGGGGAGAAGTGAAAGTACTACCATAAGATTCTTATACTATACATGAAGTGGTATAATAAAAAGGTGGACTGTGATAAAAGAAACATATACCACAAATGCTGAAGCAACCATTAATATAGCAAAACAAAGAATTACACCTAATAAACCAAGAAAAGAGATAAAATGGAATCATTTTGAAAACTCAATCCAAAAGTAGTTCAAAAGAAGAGCAAAAAGGAGCAAAGAGCAGAACACAAAAAACATAGTGAGATGATAGACTCAAACCTAATTATAAATAATTGCATTAAATGTAAATGGTCTAAACACTGCAGACATTATCAAATTGAACTTCTTTTAAAAAGGGCAACACCCAACTATATCCCACCTATAAGAAGCAAACTTTCAAAATACAAACAGTTTAAAAGAAAGAAATATATACCATGCTTATACTAATCAAAAGAAGCTGTATCAGCTATATTAATATCAGACAAACTAGATTTCAGACAAAAATGATATTAGCAGAAATAAAGAAGTCTATTTCATAATAAAGAGGTCATCAAGAGGACATAACAATCCTAAATGTTTATGCACCTAATAACATAGCTTCAAAATGAATGAAGCAAAAACTGATAGAACTCTACAAATAAATAAACAAATCCACAATTATACTTGAAGATGTCAATACCCCTCTGCCAATAACTGATCAATCTAGTGGACAGAAAATAAGTGAGGATACAGACCACCAAACAACATTATCAACCAACTTGACCTAATTGACAATTATAAAACAAACCACTCAACAATAGCCAAGTAACATAATGCACTCAGTTCTTTTCAAGTACTCACAGAACATTTGCCAATTTATACGGTACAGGGATGGAGGGATTTAAAAGGGCACAAGGAAACTTCTGGTTGTGATGAGTATATATCCCTACGTTCACTATCTGGATCATGATGATGGTTTCATGAGTGAATATATATTTCAACACCTATTAAATTGTACATTTTAAATATGTGCAGCTTATTGTTGCTTATTATAGCTCAATAAATCCTTATATATACTACTTTCTCATTAACACTTCCCATGTAATATTGCCATAGAATTTGTCTTACAAATCTTAAGCAGAAATTAGCTTTATAATTGTTTTCCCCTAAAAATGGCAAAAACTGCAATAACTTTAAAAACTAATATTATGTATAATTTTATATATGCACATATATGTATGTATGTGTGTGTGTATAAAATTATCTGCCCTACTTCTTTCTCTATGCTCCTTGAGAGCTCGGACAGGGTCTTATTTCTTCTCTGTGTCCCATCATCTAAGACAGTACTTGGCACAAAGTAGGTGCTCAACAAATAATTGCCAAATTTTTTGCTGCTGTTATTTTTATGTTCTTAGGGAAATCAGGTATTAGAAAGTGGAACACTACCCATGAATTTTGACACCTCTCTTCAGTGAGCTGTAAGTAATAGGTATAATATTGAAATTTGAATGAATAATTATCAGAAATCCTGAGTGAATCCTGAGGAGAAGTATATCCAGCAGGAATAAATTCTTGCTCCAACTTCAAAATTAAAAATAAAATGTAGACATTTCCTTTATTTCCAAAAATTTACTTAAAATTCTAAACTTAAATAATCCATTAATTATATCAAACTTTATCCCATCCCCCTCATTTCTCACACCACCCTAACTCCAATATTCTATTGTTCTTAAGAAAGAAAGAGAACAGCCTTATACAAGTCAGAGAGAGCATCCTGTTGATGACCTGTTGGAGTGTCTCTTCAGCTGGAGTATCTCATTTCTTTTTGAAGGCTACGGTGGGCACCTAGAGACAATAGATTCATGTTTAACCCCTACACACCCTTCCCTGGGCTGAAACCTACACTTTTCAGTGGTAGGGGTTTAAAAGCACTGATTCTGGAGCTGGGTTGCCTAGATGTGAATTCTAGGCCTACCATATAATAGCTGTGTAGCCTTCAACAAGTTACTTAACCTCTCTATTTCTCAGTTTCTTTGTAATAGTGGTACTTGCCTTATAAGGCTGTTGAGAACATTAAATTGATCTAATACATGTAAAGCACATAGAAAACTGTCCACTGCACAGTAAGTAGCCAATGGGTGTTAAATATTATAATAGGCACTCAATAAGCATGCCTTAAATAAATGGATGCCAGCTTTCCAAGAAGAGAAACTACAACAAGTTGTCTAAAACTATAGTTTAAGTAAGTCCTATATGATTGACTAGAGGGATTCAGTAGGTTTTCCTGGCCCCCAAAAAATATTTCACAACTCCTAAAATTCCACCATTGAAAATCATTATTTTTAATAAGGTCCTTTAACTATAAGGTCTTGTTCGACTATTAGTAACATATCATCACCATCATCTTTTAAATCATTATTGCTACATTATGTCAATTAACCCCCAAAACCATTCTTTGAGTTCAGGTCTCTTATTATTCCCATTTTATACATAAGGAAAATAGGGCACCAGAGGAAACTTTGTGCAAGGACACAAAGCAAAAAAATGGTAGCACTAGGATTTGAACCCAGGTAATATGGCCCCTGAACCTACAATCAGAGGCATCATGTCTACCATTCATTCATCATGAAATAAATAAATATTTATTGAGTACCTTCCATGTACCAGAATCCATGCCAGGCTCTAAACATGAGATGAGTGAGCACCCATGCTGGAGGCAGAGTATACCCTAAAAAAAGCATGGGAAAAAGCAGAAGAGGGAGGTGGTTAGAATGTGTGGAATAAAAGAGATGAAGGAATAGAATTCTATCTTTGCTTATCATATGTTTACTGGTCACAAAACTTGTAACTCCCCACAGGATTTGGCTTCTGCTTTAACCACCAGTCTTGCTTCTTTCAGAGTAGCCTCTGAGCACGGCTTCCGGAGACTATTCGCCCTACTAAAGGCTGACTCCATCACTTATGACCTGGAGCAATTATCCATTAGTCTCTCTGAGTTTCATTGCTGAAACAGGGATGTTAACTCTTACAGCCTGCCTCATCAAACTGGTAGTTAAGTTTGATGAGTACAGTAAATTAAGTAAATGAGTACTAGGTAGAGTACTAGAAATTTTCTTTTTTTCCCAAACAGCTTCTTCTAGAAAATTTGATTCTGACAATCCGTTTGGTTAATGATCTGGAAGCCTTCGTGCAATCAAGCTGCTTCCAAGACTGAAAAAGAAAAAAAAAATCCCTCCTACTATATCCTTGAGAAAAAGGAATAATGTGCAGTTCCCTAAAGACTTCTTAAAAGACAGATAAAAATGTTTGAGCAGTTGATGATTTTTTAAAAAGTAGAAACATCTGGACATCTCATCCCCCTGGTCTAGACCCATCCTCATGCCAGATTTTTTCCCTACGTAGCTATTTGGAATTACAGTAATAGTTATCTTTGGTTGACTGAACTGAGGAGCTAGGAGCCATAGCATATTCATTTAAAATTAAAAGGAAATTTAAAAAAAAAACTAAAATCTGAACTACTGGCTCTGAAAGACTTCTTAAACTCAAAATCAAACTCAATTAAATTTCATATCAAGTTCCATTCCACCTGAGCCTTAAACTTATGCTTTATTCATTTATTATTCATATCAATAATTATTTTTGTATTCACTATTTTTATTTCTATGTATTGTTTATTTATAGCTCACTCATCATGTAATATTAACCAGGCAATAACACAGGCCCTGATGGAAAGGTGGACTCCTTTTTCATTTACTTTTATAAATATTTCAAACTAGTAGCCAAAATGCACAATTCCTACATTTTTATATAAGCTCTTTGATGTGCTAGGTTATGAAGTACTACAAATTCTTCACCATGAGTCCCAAAAGAAGTGTTTATTAGAACTGCCCCCAAACTTCTCTGCATTTAAGAAGATGCTCAAACATAGAAATGATAATGTCACTGATTATACTGCAACAAAGAACAGGCTTCCCCAGCTATGTGGAAGATATATACATACATATATATATATATATATATACATACACAGACACACACATATATATACACATATGTGTATATATGTATATGTGTATATATGTGTGTGTATATATATTCTTCTGTAATATATAGACACATACATATATGTATGTATATATGTATATATACATATATATATACGTATATATGTATATATACATACGTATATATATATGTAGCAGAGAAGAAGAGAAAACCACAGAGTCACAGACCAAATAGAGAAAATGACCACCATGTTTATTTAGAAAATTGGTTTATATCTATCTCTGTGCTGACTCTAAACCAGGTTTACATATGATCGTCTCAATAGATGCAGAAAAATTATTTGCATCCATTCATGATAAAAACCAATTCAGCATCCATTCATGATAAAAACCCTCAACAAACTAGGCATTGAAGGAATATACCTCAAAATTGTAAGAGCTGTATATGACAGACCCACAGCCAACATCATGCTGAATGAGGAAAAGTTGAAAGCATTCACTCCAAAAACTGGAATGAGACAAAGATGTCCACTTTCACCCCTCCTATTCAACGTAGTACTTACTGGAAGTTCTGGCCAGAGCAGCAAAGCAAAGAAAGAAATACAAGGCATCTAAATTGGAAAAGAGGAAGTCAAATTATCTCTGTTCACTGATGATATGTTCTTATACCTAGAAAATGCTAAAGTCTACTCCAAAAGACTTCAAGATTTGATAAATAACTTCAGTAAAGTTTCAGGGATACAAAATCATTGTACAAAAATCAGTAGCATTTCTATATACCAATAACGCCCAAGCTGAGAACCAAATGAAGAACTCAATTCCATTTACAATAGCTACAAAAAGAAAAAAATACCTATGAATACACTTAACCAAATAAGTGAAAGACCTCTACAACAAGAACTGCAGAACACTGATGAAATAAGTAGTAGATGACACAAACAAATGGGAAAACATCCCATGTTCATGGACTGAATAAATCAATATTGTTAAAATGATCATACTGTCCAAAGCAATCTACAGATTCAATGCAATTCCTATTAAATTACCAATTTCATTCTTCACCAAACTAGAGAAAGTAATCCTAAAATTTATTTGGAACCAAAAAAGAACCCAAATAGCCAAAGCAATCCTAAGCAAAAAGAACAAAGTTAGAGGTATCAATGTTATCTAACTTCAAATTATTATTCAAAGCTATAGTATCCAAAACAACATGGCATTGGTATAAACTAGACACATAAGGATACAAGGGAATCTGAGGACTCGGGGGAAAGGGTAGGAGGGGGTGAGGGATAAAACACTATACATTGGGTACAGTGTACACTGCTTGGTGACGGGTGCACCAAAATCTCAGAAATCGCCCCTAAAGAAATTATTCATCTAAATAATACCACCTGTTCCACAAAAACCTATTAAAATTTTAAAAATTATGAAAAACATAGAGTAATGGAAGAGAATAGAGAACCCCAAAATAAAACCAAATACAACCATCTCATCTTCAACAAAGTCAACAAAGATATATACTGGGGAAAGGACACTATTCAATAAATGGTGCTGAGATAATGGGAGAGCCACATGCAAAAGAGTGAAACTGGATTCATATTTCTTAACATACACAAAAATTAGCTCAAGGTGAGTTAAAGATTTAAATATACGATCTGAAACTGTTAAAATCCTAGAAGAAAACCTAGGAAAAACTCTTCAGGACATTGGACTAGGCAAAGAATTGATGGCTTTTGCAGCAACGTGGATGGAACTAGAGGCCATTATCCTAAACAAAATAACTCAGAAACAGAAAGTCAAACACCACATGATCTTACTTATAAGTAGGAGCTGAATAATGTGTACGACATAACATGTGGAATAATGGACATTGGAGACTCCTCAGTGTAGGAGGGATGAGAAATTACTTAATGAGTGCAATGTATTCTATTTGGGAGGTAGGTACACTAAAAGCTCAGACTTAACCACTACACAACATATCCATGTAACAAAACTGTACTTTACCTCCTAAATCTATTTTTTAAATTTAAATAAATAAGTAAATCTAGTTTAATAGTGTACTCAATCCGAGCACTATACAGTACCACTATAGAGACAGTAAATACCATTCATTTTAGAAACAAAGGATTATTGAATATTATATTACACTTCAAAATTGTATGAAAACTGTACATTCATCTCCTTTCCTGGAATGTGAGGTTCCTCAACACATAGAATATGCATAGCTTTCTGAATGAATGAGTTTGGTAGCTAACCAAAGACCCAGTCATTAACAGCAGAGTTATAGGTTTGAAAAAATATCTTGAGGGTGGATCGGAACCATACAAATGTTTATTCTACTCAAAACTGTAGGACCTATCTATCCTTCAATTACAATTGCCCTAAGACCCTACACTTGATCATTCTGTAATAACAGTATCAGAGTTAATTTGATGACAACTTAGAATGGACAAGGCCTATTGCCAAGTACAATGCATATTTAGAAATATGTTGCCATTTAAATATCACAACATCCCTGTGAAGTAGATTGTTTCCATTTTTTCACATAACAAAACCACATCTTGCTTTACAAGTGTTACTTTTCTTACTAAAATATTTGCTGTTTTTAATAAATAAACAGTATAAAAGACATCTTAAGATTACAAGTAATTCATGTAAGTTATATATATCATTTACCTTGTTCCTTGGAGAAATTACAAAATAGTATTTGCATTTGGGGGTCTAAATCTGTTCAAGGCAAGATTTTCACAATGCATTGTGTTTTTGGTCTGCAGACTGTGAGACTTATTCTTACTATAAACACTCTCTCCCTCTTTCTCTGTAATAGGATTCTTGTTTAACTATCTCCCTCTTACCCAACTTTTGACCCTCTTTGACTTTTTCACTGGAGAACAACAGGTAAATAGGGAAAAGTCTAGCCCCATAATTATCCTTTGCAGATATTTTTCACTGAGTTTCACATTAGTCTCACACTCTTGTTGAACTGTTTGGAACATACCTGGCTCATTTTGACACCAAAAAAGTTCATGCTAGCTGGCATATTCGGTAACTACAATTGTATCATGTACTATTCTAAAAATAATTCTGTGTGTTTAAAGCCACCTGTATGCAATTTAGCCAGGAATTTAGAAAGGAAGCTTTAACAATAAGTATGAATTGATGATTATCTTGGATAACCAGTACCTGGCACAGTACCTGACATAGATAAGCACTTGGTAAATGTATTTGAATGAATGAATATTCTATTACCTGTGATTCTAAATATTCCTTGCCAAGGCAGTCTTCTCTTATACTGCTAATCAGGACAAATTCCAATCACAGTCCTGCTACATGGCACTTGAATTAGCAAGTGTGTTTAAACAAACAGAAAGTATGTCATTGCTTAAAGGATAAAAGGGGCTGGTCAACCAGGCACATCACATGAGCCATCGTAGGGTGAATGTTCACAGGATCACAAATGGCTTACCCTTTTGGAAGAGAATAGAGAAAAGAGGTTAAGAAATGTATCCCCATTTCACGGGTATGTGATCCAGTAATATTTTTGCCTCAAATCCCTGAGGACAAGCATTAATTAAAAAGGTCATTGCAGAAAAGCTTTCCCGAAAGAACATTAAAAGTAGCTACAGGGAGCAAGCATTTCCAAGCCTTTTGTATTATTTGACCCAAAATGAATTTTCCTCTTATTGTAACAATAAACTTACCAAAAAGCCAAAGGATGGTGCTAAGGACAAGATGGTGTATAAAATTTTATTCTGTATTTACCTTTAACAATGTCTCTTAAAATTAATACTTCAAATAAATGGTATTTAAAGAAATTATAGCATGATGTCTTTCCTTCAAGCTGTAACTTCTTAGTAATTGGCCTTACCTATTGATAGCCAGATGTGAAGGAGAATAGGAGACATTCTATTATTTGCAAAGCACCCAACTATGGTATGCTTAGTCACAAACAAAACATTTCAAGGAGAAGACTCCATTTCTAAGTTAGAAAAAAAATGTACACCTATAAACACTGATTCATTCTCTTCTCTCTGATGACAAACACTAAATTAGTCTATAAATTATGAGTATTATGTTTGTAGAGTACCCCCATGTTCTAACTACTCCACCTCTTTAATCAATTTGCCATTCCAAAATGGAAAATGATTTAGAAAAACCTGTCAAACAGAAGAGAAAGAAAATCTAATCTGGGCAAGTTATTAAGAAATCTGCTTCTTTGAATCTTTAACATTTAAACTGTCCATAGAGATTTAGAAATGAGGTGAGGGCAAGATGGAGGTGGGGTGGAGGCTTGGGGCACAGGGTGGGGGCTGCAAAGAGAGACTAGCTGCATCCCCAGAGCACCGGAGCACCGTCTAGCTTGGAAGAAGAATGGGAAGTTACACGTTGAGAGATAGAGAAAGAAGCAGAGACAGGTGGCAAAAAGAACAAGTATGAAACAGGCAGGAATACAGGAGGAAGACAAAGAAGAACATGAAAAGTGGAGGAAAAAACAATGAGAAGTAGAGAAGGAGTCATGAGAGGAGAAAGGGGGAACCGAGGGAGCCTGCGGGGAAGAATGAAAAGAAGGGAAACTAAGAGAGAAAAAGAACAGCTCCTCCATCATCGGTGCTGCCTTCTTCATCTTCGTCTCTTTTTTTTTTCAGATGGCACACTGACAGAAGATTAATTCAAGTCAGCTGCTGAAAATAATTATTGCATTATGGGAGCAGTAATCATTATTTAGAACATGATTAAATATGTCTGCACCTATTGACTCTGCCTATGATTTATGTATTTGTTTAGTCAATAGTCTAATGTAAATGATGTAATTAATTATAGATGGTGGTGTCAGGTCATTGGTGAAAACAATCTGAGGAGAACAAGGGCTCTGTTTTTTTCATGACAGATGCAGGGGGGTGGGGGGCTGAGTTGAGGGAATTCCAGGGGAACTTTTTCACGTGTGAATGGCGGCTGGGATCTCAATTTGCATGTTGTCTTTCTCTTGTTCAGCCTTCGTTTAGAAATTGAAATAACTTGTTAAGCAAAGGGGAAGGGAGCACATGGTTGCCAGGAGGACACCTGGGACTTGGGCGGGTGAGTAGGTAAAGAACCAGCTGCTCCCTAACACAGGGGAGCGTGGCACCATCATTTACCGCTTCATAAAATTAAATGTTTTCCAAATTAAATCAGTAGACAGTGTGCAGGAGGCCTACTATCTCTAATAACAATTTTTCAATCAATATGAGGGGCCTTGCCAATATGAAATCTGAGCTGAGGAAGTTAGGATGGGCTGGGGAGGGAGTGTCAGAGGATGGCACAGGCGAGGAGGTGGAAACAGGGTTTGAGTACCGAAGCTTTCAATCAAACCAAAGGTTTAAAAAATATAGATATATATTCATGGTGGATTCGCCACCACTGTGAGTCTATTCCCTGTAGATTTTTCTCTTAACTGATAATTCGGTCAGTCACATTCCTCAGAGGGGGGTCACAGGTCACCCCAGCCCCTGTCAGGCCTCAGAGAAACCATTTCCATTTTAATGCCACAGCTATAATCTATCAAAGATGTGATGTACAAGATACAATGAATTTAAGTGGTCTTCATATATCACTGAGCTTTCATGCCTTCACCTGGGTAATAGTCTGAATTACTCTCCCTACCTCACAATCTGTCACCCCCAGTAAAATAACTGCCATGCCGGTGTTAATGACAGATTTGTCCAAATTGGGGCCACAGTAGCCAAAGTCATTCTACATCATAAACTTTAGCATTTAGTGCTTAGCCTGGAAAGGGCCCATAGCTTAAAATACTTCTGTAAATAATTCTGTGGAGAGGCTCTACTCATGTTTTTATTTATAAGAGCTAAAATAAATCTAGCTGGGGCTGCACACAACCTGCCTTCTCCATTTCTCTGTATCTAGACCTCTCTCTCTCAAACCTGTCTAATCCAGCCTGTCACTTTCCCCTGAAAGGTGTCTAATAGACACAGGTCTCTTCCTTAGACAATAAACATAGCAGAGTTCAGAAGACTCAGCTTATAGTTAGTGACCTTCTCTGCAACTCAACTATTAACCCTTCTTATTTTACCAGTAAGTAGTAAAAGTCCTCTGTTGCCAACACATATATCTCCACTTAAACTATCCCTGGCTGTGAGACAAGTGCACTGCAAAAACCTCCAGGAATATAAGTCTCCATGCCCCACTTCATTCAAGTATGTTCATACATCCCTCTCTGTTTCCAGTCCTTTTCCCAGTTCCAACATCCAATCTATTTCATTTACAACCTTTAAATCAAGAGGTAAAAATAAATAATTAATTAAAAATTCTAGATGAAGGGGTAGAAGGCTGGGTTTGGACCCAAGGTCTGAGATTTGGCAAAAGTATTATACAGGAATGATAACTGTTCCAACCCACACAAGATTTGCCATGCTACCAGTGGATCCATCTAATAGAAAAGATTGCATACTGATTGATCATTCAGGTACTAAAACCCCTTGGATGAGACCAAGAAAGATTCAGACAGCAGATTTGTGCCTACAAGCATTTGTTGCACTGAAGTTCCTGCATAAACATCTTATATTGGTGTATTGCCTATGTCTAAGAAACTCAAAGTAATTAGGCAATATTGAGAGAGGACCTTGGTTTTTGTGCATCAGCCTAACATGACAGGGATATGGATTTTAAAGAAATCTCGTAATACATTCTCTCATTGAAAGAGCAGTCTAAATTTGTTCATAGGTCACCTAGTACTAGAGTCACCCAATGCTTATAATTAATAATCACAGATAAACATATAAAGAGTGTTAGTTTCTCAGAAAACTCTCTGCTTTGAAGTAGTTTATAACTTCTCTGTACCTCGTTCTTTATATATGAACACTGGGGGCCATTAGGACTTACAGACATTTTAACTCTCAAGGGTGTGATAAGGATTAATGAAGTAAGGTTTATAAAATATCTTGAACCACTCGCTCTTTCCACAGGCTATGGATTTCTAGAAATGGAGGCAAAGCTGTCTAGAAAGTTGATGGCCTGGTTAAAAGGCCAAAAAAGTCAATAGAATTGAAATTATTTAGGAAAGCTTCAGACAGAACATGCAGCAGCAAATATTCCTTTAGGTTTCAGACCACTTCTGTTTAACAATAACAAGAGTCTGGTCCTCCTCTCTCTGATAATGCTTTCATTAAGGTAAACAGTATATTATTAATGCTGAGGGTTTCTCCAGCGGGCTCTGTTTGCTTCCACTTTATCTGCTGCTTTGCAGTGAATTATAAACTCAGGAGATGTAAGTTAGAAATATGCTCCCAGCCAGTCAAAATCAATGAAAGCCCTTAACTTCAGCTGGAAAGAAACTATAGTAAAATGAAGTTGAAAGAAAGAGTGTTCTTTCTATCAATGCTCTTGGGCTCACAATGGATCGGACTTTACCAGACCCTCCAATATGTTAATGCAGTGTGTTTTCAAGCACATACATATAGCATGTATGGTGAAAAGATGCTCTCACTCCTACAGAGGCACGCTTCAGCAGCCCCTTGGAAAGAAAGCACATCCCATGGCCATAGATATCTCAGGGTATCACTTTCTCATAATTCTGCATGTCTTTTGGCCTGAAAGAGTCTTTGCACTGTTATAATATAAAAACGATTTAACCTGATTCTCCTCTAAAAGACATTAGAACTTGTGCAAAGAACTCCAAAAAGCTTTCCTTTCAAAGGGATAGCCTAAATTTACCAAGTAATTATCTTTGCTTTCCTAAAGTGTGTAGAACTGAACAAAGAGGTAGCAATTGTGTGGCCCAATATTTAGAAATTCATAATAGATTCCCAAAAATGAATGAAAAGATTCATCTAGGACATGCCTGTTTGTCCCCTTCCTTCATCATCCCCCTGAAAGAACAAGCTTTAAAACGATAATGGTGTGTGTGCAGATAACACTCAGATTTCCTGAAGTTGTTTTTCCTGTGGGAAAACACTTACCTTGTAAAACAGGATGGATTTTTTGCCCATGTTTGCAATCTTAGTAATTTACAAAGCTCTTCTTAGTCATTCAGAGTCAGAGCAGCAAAAGTACTGCCACCTCTCACCTCCTAAAAAGTTTTAGCTAGGGCCAGAGCTTTGCACTGGTTCAGAGTGCTTGACTATATCCCTTAAGTCAGTGTTTCTTAAACTTCAATGTGTATAAAATAGACCGTCAAATAAAAGACAGAATGCTCAGTTCAATTTGAATTTTAGGTAAAAACAAATGGTTTTTCAGTATAAGTATTTTCAAATATTAAATAGGAAATATTTATACTTTTAAAATATTGTTTATTTGAAATTCAGATTTAACTGAGTGTCCTGGGGTTTTGTTTGTTTGCTTGTTTTTTTTTTTAATCAGAATTACCTAGGATGTTTACAATGTAGATTTTCAGTTCCCAAACCTCATAGATTTGGATTTCACAATTCTATTGGTGAATCAGGGAACTTTTTTTTTATTTCCTAAATAAGCACCTTGGATGGCTCCAGTGCACAGACTTGAAACCACTTTGAGAAACACTTCTTAAGCGGTAGAATATCGCCTGATGTACCTTCATATATCAGCAGCAAAATGTTTTGAATTTAAAGCTGCCGGTTATTTTACCTTTGCCATGGGAAGTCTAATATGTTTGCCCCCACTTCTAAAATCCCAAAGATACATAGAGTCCTTGATCACCCAGAGGGGACAGGCACAAACAATATGAATTTCTGTCAAGGGATAAACGAAGCCTATTACCTTTTACTTGTAATTTTCCCTTTTTTCACATATAGAATACACTGATTTCTGTTGCTGTATTCCTTTTGCAACTTGGGTATTATTTACAATAAATTGAATCCTTTCCATATTTGACATATTACACTGATCTATGGCTTTGCTTTCATTTTGTCCTGTTAACTAGAAACCCACTTCATCATGAAATATGTTCCCCACACTTTTCCCCATAGTGAGTAAAAACATTGATAAAGCATCATAAATTGTAGGTCATTTCTCAACTGCTTCCTGCTACAGTGAGGACTGGGAGAAGGAAAAGTAAGTACTGATCAATGGCCACTTAATAAAATTTATGCTGAATGTATAGACAAAAAAGCACTGGACGTGTGAGAAGCCACACATATAGGATGCTTGCCTCACATCCGGACTTTGTTCATTACTCCGTAACACCAAAGGCAATTCAGCTTTTCTCTCTCTAGCAAATAAGTTCCACCCCCAAAATAAATTAATGAAGGTAAACTTTTAATGGTGATTTTGCCTAAGTCATCCAGATAATTGAAACAGATATACCAAAACCATCAAGATATATATGCCCGCAGCTGGGAATAAAGTACTCTAAGCCAAGTATAATTAAGGCATATTGGCAAGTGCTTGTTTTCATAGCTGAATTTACTTATAAAGAACATTTTAATTTTACTAAAGCATGGCTTCCAGAGAAGAAAGGCTGATAAACCAATCAGTCTAATATACCTAAGCCATCAGAATTAATATCTAGTCCTCCCTTTTATTCTGTGTAAATCTTGGGTACATAGAGTTGCTTAAAGCCCGTTTTGGACCAGAGATGTCAACCAACAACAACAACAACATTGATCGTGACACATATAATATCACCAATTTATTTAGATATGCTGATTTACTGTGTACCAACAAATCTACCAGGCATTTTACAAGTGCCATCTCGGGGAGGACATCACAGCAACATTTCACAAATGAGGAATTAATAATTTGACTCAGACCACAAGGTAAGGGATGGGCGAGTAAGAAGCAGGGAAAGAAAGAAGGGAGGTGGAAAAAAGGGAGACAGAGAAGTGTGATATCCTTTAAAACCTATTTGTTAGACCGTCTCCCAGTATTCTTTCTTAAAAACACCCTGTAGAGTATTAAATATCTGAGATCATTAAATATTCCAGATAAATGATGCCTTTCTCTGTCACAGCATAATATTCACTTTATCAGCCTTTCATAGCAACTGTGCCTTAGCAAAATTAAAATGTTCTTTATAAGCAAATTCAGCTATGAAAATAAACACTCACCAATACACCCTAGTAATACATGGCTTAGAGTACTCTAATCCCAGCTGCAGTGTTTAGAATTGCAGGGGCCTCAAGGCAAGATGTGAAATATCCTTCTGCCAACTCTTCTCAACCACATATTGAGGAAAATGAACCTGCCTCTCAGGATTGGTATGAAGAATAGCTTATAAAAATGAGTGCGAAACCCTTTGCAAATACCAAATGCTGTATGAATGTTAAGTAATAATAAAGATCTGTATAAATGCAGCGAAGCAGCCCAACCTCCAGGTGCTTTTTCAAACTGGACACCAGCCATTTAAGATTCATCCATCATTCACTTTCGGGCATCCTTTTCTTTATGAAAAAATAAAATAGGCTGTCTACATTGCAAGGAAATGGAAAAATCGAATTTCAAAGCATATAAGCCCCTATACCTTGATCATTCAAAGTAATGGGTTCTGTTAGTGAGTTAATGAAGATAATGTTCGTGAAGTAATGAAGGGGTAAAAATATCAATTACAATTATGGCTTTGTTTTCTTCTCAGAAAGCACAAGATTCTAGCTGCAAGTAGATTTTGAAGACATGAAGACATGTGGTACACAGCCGCTATCACAGGGCAGGCATTATTCACTGTGTCTATCCCTAACTCCTCCAAGAACTCACTTGTCAGTAATCCCCAAGCATTGTTTGTCTCTATGTTGAAGAACAAGGAGGGGGTGAAATACAGTGTTCATGAGCAACATAACCATGATGATTGTCATCCTGCAGCCCCTTGCAGCAAGAATGATAGAAAAAGAGAGAGAAAGAAAAAAACTCTTCCCCAGCAAACCATTTCCTCCAAAGACATGATTCACTAACATTTGATTTGACAAGTTGTAGGCACTCCTAACATTATTTTTTTCCCCTTTGCTGTTCATTTGGGGAGCAAAGATTTATTGCCTCTCCTGAATAGGACAAGAGATGCACTAGAAATAAGAATCAATAAGGTTTTTCTTCTTTTCCTTGCCCATCTTTATAGAAGAAAACCATTTCTTCACTAGGTTCTTAATTCTTTTTTATTTCAAAATACAGTTAATCTTTTTCTGTAATATTAAATAAAATTTGAAAACAGAAGGAAACAGTAGTCATGTTGTGGGGCAATGAGAGGTGATCCATTTGAAAGTCAAATACTCTTCCCATGTGAAGTTTCCTGGCCACACAGAGTCAATAGCCTCTGTCACTGGACTGCCCTCCTCTTTCAATGTAGTGCGCATAAATCTGCCACACATGTGAGCCGTATTGTATATGGGTTTGCCCTGAATGTACACGAATAAAAACTATGCAAGATTTCATTCATAAAATCCCAAGCAATTATTGTTTAATAAAACAAAGGTAAAAAGAGCTGGGTCCTAGTCCATGCAGATTTTGCTGGGTATCTAATGAAGTGCTTCATGAAACAAAATAAGCCAGGAGAGCTGGCACTGGGCTGCATCGAGTTTTACTCCTGGGTGCAAAAAAAGAGCATAGTATTTGTTTCCTCTCTGGTGGTAAGTGGATCTAAAGAGAAAACCAAAGAGGAACAAGTAAAGTTTATTCAATGTACAATATATGAAACTAATTTTTATGAGTGCTATCATGTTTTATCACCCTTAAGATAGGTATAATCTCCTGATATATGCATATCATATGCATGTATACCCTTTCAAAGCAGTCTTAGCTCTAGCTGTTAAAATGGCAGACAGCCTCTCAGCATTTCCATTATAAAACCTGATTTTCAGGGATTTATAACTAAACTGAAGATTTCCTTCAGAGTGAGGCAAGAATCACCAGGTCTCAGCTCAGAGCACAATTTTGCTTTCAGTTTTCTGGGAAGTTTGGTTTGGTCATTATCAAGTTATGGAAATGCAAAAATAAATACATCAAAGTTTATAGGGATCTGGTTTTTTTCCCTCTATTTTTTTTAACCCGTAGTAAAGCTTTCAAATAGCTTGGTTATCTGAAAAGACACTTAGTCCAAAATATGGATTTCTTTCTTAAAATGGCTGCAACTTTGACATTTAAAGATTGGTTATTACACATGCATAGAAGCTGCTTCCCCAAAAGCTACTCAGCAGTACTGTGCAATATGGTATGTATCACGCATACTTAATGCCCACTTGCCAAATGATCCTCTCCTATTGCTGGACTGAGGAAATGGCTTTTAACAGGAATGACAAATATATTACCAATTCAATTATTGCTTTATTATATTGCACTCTTTAAAGATTGCTTGAAGAGTAGCATAGATTGTGCAAAAACTACTTAATTTCATGCATCATTCTAAAAGTAATTATTTACTTCCAAATTAATATTAGCTGAAAGACCTTAAATCCCTTGCCACCAACGACTTCTAGAAAACATTATGGTGATTCTTTACAGGGTCCAGAGAAAATAATTAACAACAAGATAATGCTTAATTAGCATTCACATAATGCACCATTATAGTTTCAGACAAAGAGGCAATAATATTCCACATGCTCCAAAATGTATTTCCAAACACACAGATTTCAATCAAGTCTAAATAGGTTCATTGAAAAAAATAAAGTTCAATTCATTGTGACTCTTAGCTGCATAGTATTTCTTTCCCTTGATGAAAATTCTTATGTAATACACTTATAAAAAGACATACTTACAAGATGTTTATACAAGGTGTGATCATAAAGCTTTTGCACAGCCACTTGAATATCATCATTATAACAAATCCACATTCTTTTGGGAGCAAACTTATTCGAAACAAACAAAGACATTACCAGACGAAACTTGTGAATGAGGCTGACATATGAGTTTTGGTTTGAATATAGCCTGATGAGACTGGGGTTTCTCTCTCTCTCTCTCTCTCTCTCTTTTTTTTTTCTTATGACCCTGAAGCCTAAGCTGAAAGCATCATAAATGAGGAGGATAGGAAAATGTTTGGTGCAATGGAAGCATGATTGAAATGTATGACAGTTTTTGATTCATGCAACAAATATTCATTACATGCCTTCTGCAGAACAAACACTGAGCTAGGAACTGTGATCACAAAGATACCAGCTATGTTCTCAAAGTTCTTATGGTCTAAAATGAACAAATTTTGACGTTTTAAAATTAGTATTCAGCCTTAATCATATGGATTGCTAGCTATTAAAATATACTCATAAAACTATAAAAGTAAAAGCCAAATAAAAGACATTTCAGTTCTTGTCTCAACAAAAAACTGAGTAAGTCTTTGGGAGGGTGGGGACACAGGGAAAAAAGTGCCTGTAGTCATCAGTCAAAAATCAGTCAAGATGCCGCATGTTGTTTTCAGCTCTCTGAACTCCTTAGGAAAAAAAAAAATACACCTCTCAAGAATCTTTTCAAGAAACTGTTTGCCCACAACATAATTGATAAAATTGATATATAATTCTGAATAATTTTCTGGTTTCAATGAATTTTCACATACATTTCCCCATTTAATCTTCATAATAAGTCTGAAATAGGCAGAGCATGTGCGTCTATTCTTACTTTTTAGATAAATAAACTGAAATTTGGAAATGTTAACCACACAGTTAGAAAGTGACATTTTTAAGACCAATCAGGAGGATAGAAACAATAGGAAATAATAACAAGGAGGCTTTTCATGCAAATATTTCTAAAGTTTAGGTTGTCAATAAATCTTTTACGAATTCCAACAAATCTATATTTTTGTTTCTTCCCTTAGATAGCTGAGGCTGTTGTTTACCTGCCACAATTACATCAGACCAAACATGCTACAGTCAATATTTCTGACGATCTGAGATACCAGTAGAGTAGTAATCAGTTTAACTTCAGGGTAAAGACTGCTTAGGCATTACAACAAAAAACACAGATCAGCTTTGCTGCCATCTGACTTTTTCTGCCACCAAAGTAAATTAAGACCAAGATATTTGCTGTTGAGGAAGGAGGAGTGTTTGAGTGCTTGCATCATGCAGAAAGGCTATCTATTCAGGAATAAAAAAATGCTGTTGATAATGTGTCAAATCTCCATTTTACTCTGCCTGTGTACGTCATCACTAAATTGTGCAGCACAGTACAATTGACACAATGAGTAGGCACAATGAATTAAAATAATGAAAATGATCCATTTACCTCTGACTTTTCTCGGTTTTGCTCTCTGATCTGTAAGAATAAAGACAGAGCAGTTATCTCTCTAGGAAGGACACTTGAATGTCTTATGCATTTAACATACAGAAACGGAATGTGCATACATATACCAAGAGTGTGGTTTATAGTAGAGAATGTAGAGCATTGAAGAGAACATACAACTTACATGCAAATCCTGGATTCTAGTCGTCCTTCCACCACTTGCTGTATGACCTTGATCAAATCACCTCTCAGCCTTAGTTTCCCTATGGGGGGAAACAAAATGTGAATAATAATAACATCCCGCTATCTCACAAGCATAACCAAAGGGAAAGCACTTTGTAAACTGTGCAAAGGACTGTACATATGTGAAGTGTCATATTAAAGATATTATTATTATTTTCATGACCACAGGGATTTTTTTTTAAATGTAGGTTTTTAAATGCCTGAGAAAATGGGGCAGTCACAGAACCATGATTTTAAACAAACTTTATTTGGGCGCATGACTGACTGGCAATTGTGTGCAATCATTTCAGCTGTCACAGGCCCAGAGAAATGTGGGAGAGCTCTTCCATGAAATGTTTATATTTCATAAACAAAATGATGTGCTTAACAGAGTGATGGGAGGGTTCCGGCTAATGCATTTTCCAATGTGTGAGGCAGATTATTAATGCGCTCCAGTAGCTGTTAATTTCAGTTTGCCGGAATGATTTATGGGGAGGTAAAGGAGAGAGACATAATCTAATTGAGATCAGAATCACTGTTCTAGCAGCAAAGCACCAACATGGACCGTAGGCACAGCAGAATAATTAATACCTAATAAGCAAATAATCCATTAAATTATTATAAACATTACTTTTGACAACTCTTTTGTTGGCAGATGGAAGAGGGAAAAAAAGAAAAAAGAAACAAAAGATATAAAAATCACTACTTTCTCTAATAATATTTATTGTAAAGGTAGATTTTGTCAGAGCAAGGGTGATGAATATCATGATGGGCTTGAGAATTGTGACGAATTCTGAGTATACTATGAGGCCATTTTTGCCATAATATAAATGGCAATTGAATGCCTGGAGCAAGATCACTATGCAGACGTAAAATTAAATAACTCCCATTCTCAAAATATCTCTCACTGTACTTTATCATTACCCTGCTAGTAAGTAGACTAGTCCTTGCCACTATGAAGGCAATCAGATGTAGAGCCTAAAAGGGAGAGAAAGATAAATAGCCCCTCTATACAAGCCCCTTTTAGTTTTTTCTGTTTTTTTAATTTTTTAATGTGATAAAATACACGTAAATTACCATTGTAGCTCTTTTTAAAAGTGTACTATGCAGTGGTGTTAAGTATTCACATTGTTGTGTAACCATCACCACCATCCACCTCCAAAACTTTTTGTCTTCCCAAACTGAAACTCTGTACCCATTAAACAACAACTCCCCATACCCCACCCCCTAACCCCAGGTACCCATCTTCTATTTTCTGCCTCTGAATTTCACTCCTCTAAGTAACTCATGTAAGTGGAATCATAGAGTATTTATCCTCTTCTGACTGGCTTATTTTATTTAATATGTTTTCAAGTTTCATCCAAATTGTTGCAGCTGTCCGAATTTACTTTCTTTTTAAGACTTAATAATGTTCTATTGTATACTACATTTTGTTTATCCATGCATCTGTTAGTGGACAATTGGGTTGCTTTCTCCTTTTGGCTACTGTGAGTAATGCTGATATGAAGTTGGGTAAATACAAATATCCATTCAAATTCCTGCTTTCGATTCTTTTGAGTACACCCAGAAGCGGAATTGCTGGATCATATGGCAATTTTCCATGTTTAGTTTTTTAAGGAACCACTATAACTTTTTCCACAGTAGCTGCACCATTTTACACTCCCACCAGCAGTGCACAAGGATTCCAATTTCCCCACATCCTCACCAACACTTGTTATTTTCTTTTAGATCTCTTTTTATAATAACAGACATTCTAATTGGTGCAAAGTAGTTTTTTCTTAAATAGACAGAGTTATTTAAAGTGGCTGTCTTACCTCCAAAGGACCCAATAAATGTTATTTTAGCTTTTGCCCTTCTTAGAGACTTTTATCTTGTCTGTAGTTCAACATGAATTTGACATCTACGTCAGAACAAGCCTAGAACTAGGTGGGTATGCATCAACCAGCTGAGGAAGCAAAACCACACTGGAATAAGTACATAACAGGTAAAGTGGCCACCAGATGGTTCAGAAGGGTGTATATGCATTTGAGGGGTACATGCAAGTAGAGAACCTCTTTCACTATCACCCAGAAATTCCAAACATACTCTGTAAGAAGACTTCATGTCCCCTCTCAGGCCTTACTTCACCTTCCTCTACTTCTTTTTTTAACCATCCTTTCTGGACCTCCATTTCTCCAAGATTAATCATGACTGCTTGAAGCAGGATTACCATTGCTTACTCCATTTCCTGCCCCTCATGGCTCCCTTCTCTGCCTATCCTTCTCAATGCTGTTTTTAAAATTATTATTATTATTCCAGTAAATCTCTGCAAGAATTTGTTCCCATGTTTGTTTTTCTCTCTTACTGAACAAAAGACCACAAATCTATGATGCCAAAGAATTAATTCCTTACTGCATGAGTGTAAAATATCTGAAGTCCAGTAGGAGTGACTCAGTCACTCAGGCTGATGGCTGTAACAAGAGTTAAGCTCTGGTTGCCCTAACTTCTTGTTCCCACTCTATTATTACATTCTTCGGGGACATGGACGAAGTCATATACCTTCTCTTTGCCTCGATTTCTTCTTCCATTAAATGGGAACAACAGAATTGCCATTGATTTTGTTAAGACCTAATCTGGAGACTGCAGTCTGCTTTGAGACATTAGGATGCCTCTAATTAACATTATAATAAGCATTAAAGCTAATTTTAGTTATTTAATAATGTATTAGCTTAGGGGAAACATTAATAGATATAGGGTAATGGATGATCAACAAAGAATGGGCAACTAAATATTTGGGACATGGTTTATACATAATGCAAGAATCCCTTCCCAATCATCATAAAATGTCTAGATTGGTAATACTACAAGAGTGTATGAAATTATATACTATCAATTTGATTTATCTTCAAGAAATTCATGAAGTTTTGAAATTGGCAATGCAAGGATCTCTAAGAATTTCTAAAATCTTACTCTAATATACCCTTTAGAGATAATAAGATGTGACTCTTTGAAGAATGCTAGAAGAGAGTGTATCTTTTTTGCATTCAAAATCCACAGTACACATATAAAAAAGGATTCTGAATTATTTCAAAGAGTTTTGCTTTAAGAAATTTGTTCAAAACTCTCTAGGTGTGCATTTAGGAGGCTAACCAAAAAGACAGGTAAACTTCTAGGCAATCCTTCTATTTCCACTTAGTATGTATAACTCTCATTCCTCAGGATCCTTTCATAGTACAGGCAGATGTCCCCTTCTTACTATCAATCACTAAAGGATTGAGGTTAGAAGTAATATTTGGAAATCCTGAGTCACAGCCTTGGTATTACACTTCTCAATTCTTGTAAAGAACACCCAATTCTAAAGATCATTAACTGGCTGCCATAAAATTCTAATGGTATCTACTTTGCAAAAGCTTAGGAACACCTTACAACAGATAAGTCTCTTCCAAGGTACCTAAATAATGCTATATACACCAGAGCTTGAGGACACCCCAGAAACTATTTTACAGATGCAGAAAATACAGCACAGAGAGGTCCTAATTCTTGTTAGTGATGGAGTCGATACTAAAAATAAGATCTCCTGAGTCTTTATCTACAAGTCTTTCCACTCCTCCACATCACTTCCTCATCAAGTCTAGCTAAGTATCATTTTATTATTGCTTTTCCTTGCTCATTCAGCAAATTTCACTGATGAAATAAAACACATTTGAACTCATTCATTCATTCATTCAATCATTGAGCCACTATGTGCCACACACTTTACTAAGCATTAGGAACAGTGCATGAGTAAGACAGACAAGTTCCTGCCCTCATGAGTTTACACTCTGGTAGAGGAGAAAGGAATTAAGCAATTAAATAAAATTTTAAGATATGCATACAAATCCTAAGTGCTATGAAGGAAATAGGGTTCTATGAAGGAAATAAGGAGATGTGATAGTCACTAGGTGTGGCCGATTTACATTGAGTGGTCAGAGAAAACTTCTCTGAGTAGGCGTCACTGAGCTAAAAGTGAAGTGAGGGATAACACTAGCACACAAAGAGCTGGGGTAGTGCATTGCAGGCTGAGGGGATAAGCCTTGTGGCACAAAAGGGCCTGGTGGTTCAGAGGGCCAGCACAGAGGTCAGTGTGGCTGGGGTGCCATGAGAAAGGCAGAAGGAAGTATCAAGTGAGATTACAGAGGGATACAGGAGCCAGATCATCTGGGACCTAGAAGCCAATGTACAGGGTTTAGTTTTATTCAAAGAGCAATAAGACATCATTGAAGGTTTTAAGCAGGAGGATGATGTGGTCTGCTTTAGGTTTTTGAAAGACCACTCACGACAACAGCTGGGTGAAGAAGGGATTGTAAAGGATTGAGTATGAAATTAAGAAGACAAAACAGAGGCTGTGGCAATGTCCAGGTGAGACAGGATGGAGTTTTGAACTAAGGTGATGGCAGTGGGGTAGAAAGGAGTAGGTGGATACCATGTAAGTTTTGGAAGTAGAGCCAATATAAGTTGGTGATTCACAATAAAAGAAATATGCGGGAAATTAAGAGACTAAGTGTAACGCTTAGTTACTGCCATGAGATAATGGCAATGCTGTCTAGCAAGGTGATGAATTTTGCTGTCGTTTCACGTCACCTCATAGTAAAGCCTACAAGGATATACAGCTTTGTAAAGCCAAGGGCATAACTGGAAATTAGAAATATCTATGATACCTCCAAGAGAACCAAGTCATCCATCTCTATATTTGAGATATTGAGAGATCATCCATCTCTCCATGTACTAAGCATGATCCCCCATCAATACTAAATAGAATGGAGAAACATGTCCCTGCATTAATTACAAAACATTGATTACAATTGGCTTACGTTGGTGACTCCACACCCCTTCACTCCAGGGCTCTCCATAATGCCTGCAAAATAGCTAGTGATACACTTGCTAAGAACTTCAGGAAGCCTACAATCTTGTATAGACCCACTAGAAGGAATAAGTGAGAATTCTGGACAGACTGTGCACTTTTGAAAATCATTATATAACATACTGTCAACCTTTTAACCCTGAACAAAATATTCATACTTTACTGCCTATTTCACAGTTGTATATCTAAATGACAATTTGCTCTTTTCCTCCATGTAATCCAGATATATCTTGCCTCCAGAAAGTATTCTATGGTACTTCTAAGAGCAACACAGGCTGAAATACAAGGAATATTGAGATGTTTACTTCTTTGAAAAATTGGGAGAAGAAAAACCATGGAATCTATAACAAAAACAACAAAAAAGAGGTTAAACGTAAGCGAAGAAGATTATTATGCAACTCCTAGAATGCCCGTGAAACTGGAGAAAACGGGGAGGAAAGTAAAGCTCTCTTCTTTGTTCAGGCCAGCTAAGGCTGCATAGAGTCTATCATCAGGTCTTGGGTCCTTCCACAATTTGAGTACAGATGGAAGAGAAAACATAATTAACAGCTGTGCCTTGACTTCTATGCCTGAGTAATATCCCGGGTCCTAAAACCAGTTTGTATGGCAGAACACCAATCTCCAAGTCTCCCTGGGACAATGAATAGCCTGACTTTTCCCCTTTAAGATACACAAATATGTCTAAATTACTGGAAGTAAACATCCAAAGAAGGAAACAGCCTAATTCCCACCACAGAAGTGACCCAGTCTCCAAGATGAAGGACTGAGGAGGGAGTGGTTACATTTTAGCTTTTGCTTCTTATTTCTCTACACAAATGTTTTACATCAATGCACATCCAAAAAAGGAGCCATAAATTTTGGAAATAAGAATAGTAGCCCTAGTTTCAAGCTGGTGGTGGTATCTTCACCATTTATGCAATTGCTGAGGAACTCCCCAGGAGTTTTTGGCACTGTGCTTAGGAAATCATAAGACATTAGAGCTTGTAGACAGTCCTTGACTGGTGAGGTACAAAGTGTTTGTGATGATGAGGTTCCTCCTCCCCAAACTACCAATAGTTTATTCCACCTTCCACACTCCTAGAGTCCACTTTTTTGTCATGTAGAAATTTTTTGCAGAAATATAGAGATAGAATTTCTCTAAACCTTTCATGCCACTATGGAGTTCATTTTCCAAAGACAATTTAAATTTGTCTGCTAAACGCACTCATGCATCACCTGATAACTAGGCCCTGAAGATATGGAGGCAATTACCCTCCTTGAACTTACTGTCCACACCAAGTCAAAGATCAGAATGTAAAAAGTGCAGGCATAAAAATACTCAAATAAAATATGAGTGAACTTTTTTATAATCTCAGGGTGAGGAAAGCCTTTTTTACACATTTTATGAAAACTAAAAATAAAAAGGCTGATATATTTATCATGAAAATGATAAAAGACTGACAGACTTATAAAGACAGTAAAATTTTAAAATTGGGAGCAAAATAACAACAATGATGATGACAAAATAAAGTAAAAGTTAAACTACAAATAGGAAATATATATATTTAATACATATGTCAGGCAATGAGTAAACTTTCTACTACACAAAAGGGTTATTACAAAGCAACAAAAATAGGTAAAACAAAATGGAAAAAATGGACAAAGAGAATGACCAGGAAATCACTGAAGAAGAACTACAAATAGTCAATTAACCTGGCTCAAACTTATCTAAAATACAAATTAAAACAAATAATAGAATTTTTATTTTAAACATTTCAAAAGATTTTAAGCCTAAATATATCCAAGAATGTGGAGAAATGTTTACAGGCTATGAGAAGTACACATCTTTACATTTAAGAAAGAAATTTGATAAATTCTATTAAAATTTCAAATGTGCTGACCCTTTGGCCCAGTGATTTTACTACTTTTTATTTTATTTATTTATTTATTTTTTCTTTATTTTTTATTTTATTTTATTTTTTTTTTTGAGACGGAATCTTGCTCTGTCCCCCAGGCTGGAGTGCAGTGGCACGATCTCAGCTCACTGCAAGCTCCTCCTCCTGGGTTCACACCATTCTCCTGCCTCAGCCTCCTGAGTAGCTGGGACTAAAGGTGCCCGCCACCACGCCTGGCTAACTTTTTGTGTTTTTGTAGTAGAGACGGGGTTTCACCGTGTTAGCCAGGAAGTTCTCGATCTCCTGACCTTGTGATCCGCCTGCCTCGGACTCCCAAAGTGCCGGGATTACAGGCGTGAGCCACTGCACCCGGCCTGATTTTACTTCTAATAGTTGACCATATAGATATACTTGAAAGATGTGCAAACATAAAAATATACACAACAAAATTTAGCGCAGCAAAATTCATAATAAAATGCGTAAAAAAAAGGAAATTAATTACACATAACAGAAT
Source organism: Homo sapiens (assembly GCF_000001405.40). Taxonomy (NCBI): domain Eukaryota; kingdom Metazoa; phylum Chordata; class Mammalia; order Primates; family Hominidae; genus Homo; species Homo sapiens. The sequence goes on from NC_000004.12 coordinate 84,450,562, forward strand.
ACTCTATAGTTGTTAGAAATAATGATGTAGATCCTTGTGCACTGAAAAGATGTTCAAAATATATTTCTCAAATGTTTATGTAAATCAGTTGTTAATGTATTTTATATATATTCTACTAACAAATAAATACATTAATATTACCTGTTAGCATATTGCATATATTAATATAACTATTATTCACAATTTGATATATTGTGAACAATAGTTATTTCTGAATATGAAATTTTAAGATTTTGAAGGTCATTTACTTTTTTAAAATGTTTCTAAATTGTCTGAATTATTTGTGGCACATATTTTTACCTTTGCAACTGGATAAAGAAGAAAGCCAAAGGGCTTAATAGTTACTATATTTGTTTATCAGGTATTTTTTATTAAGAGGCATTTTTTATCTTTTTGAAGTCTTGATGTCGCATTGCCAACATACACTATTGCCAACATAGAAAATCCATGCATATACACCTGCATGATTGAATATTATGCTCAATCAAATGCAGAGGAAGTGTTATTTGAGTCTCTTAATGAGATACAGCTAGAATGGAATATTTCAGGACTTAACAGTTGTCTCCCACTGCAGTAAGCTGAGGAGACATGTCAGACTCAAAGGACAATCAAAACACATGCATGTTCTTACTAGCGAGAGCATTGGACCAGAGCTTTTGGGCCTTCTATTATGATGAACTGGGCTGGACCATGTAGAAGATTGAAGGATTCATTCTACCACTTCAACTTAAGACTTATACTAGAAGCAGAACAAAGAACTATCCAATTTCACCCACACCCACATATCTGACTTTGGCCAAACAGATGCAACACTGGGGGAAGATGAGCTCCATTCCTTCTTCGCAAGGCGTTGTGTGAAGAACGCCTAAGTGTCTTCTCAAGGTTTCTCTCTCTCTGCTCTCTGCCCCGCACCCTGACCTAGCTTACCCTTCCAAAACTGGAGGCATCCCCCAAGTGGAAGATACTTAGAAGCTCTATTTTAACCCATAAGTTTCACGCATCTTGGAGAAAAGACAGCACAAAGAAAGATCCGAGGAGAATGCACATCCTGCCTTTTATTTTATTTATGATACTTTTATCCTTCCTACTAAAAATTATAGTCAATTGTGTACATTTTGACATGGCTGTGTGTGTGTGGTCTGTGTGTGTGTGTTTGTGTGTGTGTGTGTAAAAATATTGGGAATACAGAGCTCCTCCTAGTGGTTAGAACTCATGGCCAATGGGTTTAAAACTAAAGTCCCAAGTTTGCTGTATTCACTTGTTAATTTAGAAATATTTGAAAGGCAATAAAATTGAGGGCTAAAGAAGCAATATCAAAAAAGAAACGGGAGAATTACTGAAGGAGGGAATAGTTATCTTGGTCTCTTTTTGCAGGAAGAACTGGGAATGTCAGTCAGGCCAGTGAAAACTGTATTAAGTGGATAATTTTAGAAAATCAACATGTAAAGCTGAAAAGGCTTCCTTCCAAATTATCAAATATGATCATCCTAGCAGTGAGTAAAGATCATATCTATGTTTTTCCCAGGAATTGAGAAAAATACTAATAATTATAGGCACTTAATAAATATGCCATTTGTTGAATTTATTGAATAAGGGGCCTAGAGAATCAAACCCTCCACATATATTAGCTCTGATTCATAAGATCTTTATTTATTTTGCATTTTATTTAGAGCTCTCTTGTCTCACTGATTGTCAGGAGTTATCCATGGGCAACATACTTATGAGAAAACAATTGACTTTTGAGCTACTTTAAAAAACAATAGTAAATAATGGTTAAAAAGTTAAAAAGAATAAATAAGACCTAGTATTTGCTAGCACAACAGAATGACTACAGTAAAAAAAATTTAATTATACATTGTAAAATAACTTAAAGAGTGCAATTGAATTGTTTGTTACACAAAGGATAAATGCTTGAGGAGATGGATACCCTGTTTACCCTGCATATTATGCATTGCATGCCCTTATCAAAATATCCCATGTGCCTCATAAATATATATACCTACTATGTGTCCACTAACATTAAAAATAAAAGTAAAAAACAATAGTATTAAACATTATATATACATATACATACATGAAATCTGTAGCCTGAAGCCCCCAAGGAGCTGCAAAGCCCATAGAGCCCATGAAAACTTAATATGATTTGGGAAATATTATAAAGCTAAATATAAATACTTATATTTATCCTTCACAAGACTATCCTGTCTAACATTTCTTTGGATTCATTGCTAACAGCCTTTCAGAATCATTCGCAATTCTCTCACATATTAATATTTGACCAATTCATATTAAGTAAAACATAGTATTATTTGAAGAGGAGTTTAGTTTAATTTTGACAAACGTCTATTATTCTAAACACTGAAAATTACCATACATTGTTTCAACAAATGGTACACTACTACTGTCTTTTAGAGAGGAACTACAAATGTAGGTCAAATGTTTTCCATATCTTTACAGAACAAAGTAAATAAATGAAAAATAGATGTATTAAATAAAATTTACTCTAGCATTAGTCATTTCAATATTTGTGGTTTTGACTAATTTTTTAGTCAAAGGCTAAGACATGTAATGATTTAAAACTGCTAAAGGAAGCAATTAAATCAAACTATGTCAAGGCTATAAGGTGGCAGCAATTCACTTAGCTTGTACAGGCCAGCAGACTCTGGTGGGACTTTCTTTTTTCTCTACTTGTTTTCACATTTATAGAATCTCTCATTTCAGAACTGACACTCCTTAAGGGATCACTTAATAAAAAGAGGGAAATACAATTGAAAGTTTGAAGAGTCCAAAAGTCTTCAGACATGTCACTTACAATTATCAAATTCCATAGCGTAATGTTAGTTTCTTTGGTTTAGGGGTTGAAGGGAGTTGTTTGCTTTTTGAGACAGGATCTCACTCTGTCGCCCAGGCTGTAGTGCAGTGGCACAATCACTGCTCACAGCTACCTGAACCTTCTGGGCTTAAGTTAGCCTCCCACCTCAGTCTCCTGAGTATCTGGGACCAGAGGCATGCACCACCATGCCCAGATAATTTTTTTTTTACTTTTTGTAGAGATGGAATCTTTCTATGCTGCCCAGGCTAGTCTCCAACACCTGGGCTCAAGTGATCCTGCTGCCTCATCCTCCCAAGATTCTGGGATTACAGGTGTGAGCCACCATGCCCAGCATAACCTTACTTTTAAGTTAGATACTATCATAAGTTGCCTATAAACAGATTCGACCTTTAGACTCACAAGCTGCCAATAATTGAATAAAAATGAGTGTATATTTGTATGTAAGGGAACATTAAATAGGTCAATTCCTGTACTCATGAGATTGTACCTGAAGCCACAAAGCTACAAACAATAGGCAAAATAAGTGCCTTTACAATCTGAAAGAGGAAATAATCACATCAAGACCAGCCTTACTAAAAGGCTGCTCCAGCACTATGAACACCTTTCGCTAGAACGACCTACTTTCACTAGCCAGACGGATGTTTATATGGCTACAAAATTTGGGGGCCCAGGGATGCCACAGGGCCATGTGAAAAAGTTCTAAGGAGAAATTAGCATGTCTTCTAGAGTTTGGGGGGTTATGAATTTTGAGATTAGTATCTGCCTCTAGCCTGGTGGATGTGGAAGGCAGAAAGCAATCTGCATTTGCCAAAAAAAAGCAGCATTTGGGCACATTACACTCTTAGAGTTTTACATGGCAAAGAGAGTAGGTTTCCCATGAGCCAAGTAGATGCCATGAAAGGTAGCTGGGTCAAGCATGGCCTCCCAGATGAGCAGATCCCAGAAGTAAGAAGCTGCTGGATTTGAACTTGGAAGCAGGAGTTGAAAGGAAGGTCACAAGAGGTATGCCTAAAAGTGCACGATTTCCATCAGAGAAATGGACAGATCCCCACAAAGAAGTTTCAAAAATCCCATAAATGCACCTCTTGAGAGATCCAGCATGTGGACACTTGAAATTCTAAGGGCACCTTAGCAGAATTATACCACTAGACATTTAGCTACATTTGTCCTCCTTTTATCATTTGTCCCTCCTCCCCATCCAACTGTTTGTAAAAACAGTTGTTTGAGCTGTTTGTAAAAGAGAAATAAATGCCATAATTATTTGAAAATGGGAAGGGAAGAAGAAAAATTATTGCTATTTACAAATAGCAATAGTATGAATACTTACAAAATCTAAGAAAATAAACTGAAAAATGATATATTAGTATGGGAGTTTAGTAAAGTATCTAGATATCATCACACACACACACACACACAAATTAGTATTGCATCAATAAAAGTAGCTGGAAAATTCCATCAATAAAAGTAGCTGGAAAATATAATGCAAAAAAAGACAACATACACAGCAACCTAAAGTAAAAAATATCTAGGAATAACACTAACAAAATGTGCTGGACCTCTATATGAGTTTATTGAGACAATATTTAGAGAGTATCAAGCTATTTTAGTGGTGGCAATTTTGTGTGCCATGTAATCTGGAAACAATAGACAGTGTCAGTACAAGAGGCGTGACATATGCTAAATCATGATCCAATCAACGGGAATGCATAAAACATGCTACTTCAAACACTGAGGTACCTGCTGTTTGGAGTTCTGCTACAGTTCATGCCTGCATAACACAGGAATTCTGAGAAATTCCATTTTGCACAATTTTTACCAAAAAAGAAAAAAGATCATTGTGAGTTTATAATTGTAAGCTTTGTATTATTGAATATATTTCTGGTAAGAGACAACATCCAATTTGATTAGGCATTGATGAAAACCAAATTACCCACTTAAAACTTTTTGTGACTGATGATTTGGGAGTATTTTCCATCAACTGGTTTGTAGCCCTGTACATTTCAGTCTTTCTCCTCTACTACTCACATATTTCCAGAAGTAGGTGCTACAGGCCGTGTTCATGCTGACGTATAATCTCTGGCCTTACACCTTCCCATCACAAACTACATCACTGCAATAGGCAGTAAGAATATTCCCGGAAGACTTTCCTACATTGAGTCTGCGAGGAATAACTTAACTATACATGCAATTTATTCTCAATCTTGACATATGTCCTACTAAACTGTAACTAAATGATTCCCCAAGTCAACTTCCCCTTAGACAGGTATCAAAAATGCCTGAGGGCAAGTATAATGGCAAGGAAGTCAAAGTGGAATGAGAAAGGGGATGTGACATTTAAAACTGATGGAAGTTAAAATACCTTACTTTTGCCTATCATAATTATTTCTGGATGTGTAAAAACAGAATTTTCCTTTTTACATACATCCAACTTCTTTCACCAATTCCTTCTACACTTGGAAGACCAGGCAAGAGAATTGCGGTATTTTTCCTGGCCCACTCTGTTGTTGCTAAGCCAGGCTGTTGTTATGCTCTTAGTTACAGCTATTTTTAGCTGCAGTGTGGATCACTACATTGTCAGCGATTTTTCCACCTACTCAATGAAAATACTTTGTCTCTTTAAAATGTAGTACAATTTTCAAAGCTCTGCTCTTTTGTTACCTTAACGTGGCACCCTCCAATGCAAAAACAAGAAACAGAATACCATTTAAATTGTCTTCACTATAACTACCACTCTTTTCCAAAAACAAAATCAGAACAGAGATACATAAAACTCTAGCTTGAGAGATTAGACCTTCGGTCTCCCATGACCAGTTTCTCTTGTAAATAATCTTCAAAGCCAAAATGGAGAAAAGGAAGGGTAGAACCACAGAACATACCTGTTTGGCAGTGATTCAGGGCAGTGAAATCCCCTGTTTTATGATGTTATATGCTCTTATTGCTACCAGGAAATCTGATCAGTCTGTACCCACATCTCCAGCCTTACTCACACCTTCTAGCTCCCGTTCTCTCCTCCCGTCTCTAACTGGAAGTAGAATCGTCTGTGGTTTCCACCCTGTGCATGAACTTCTTCCACAGCACCCATCCATCACCCAGTAATCACTGACTTTACTTGTCTGTTCACTATTATATCCTAGCACAGTACTTAGCTTGGAATAAAATGTCCAATGAATGTTTGTTGAACAATGGGTAAAATACAAAGGTTCTTTTTAATAGAAGTTATAGGTTTCCCTTTTTAAATTGGAGACATTCAAATTTCAGGAGGGAAAATGTGTTTATTCATATTTGGCAAAAAGAAGATACAGGTTATTCAAAAATTAAGTTTTACATCTTAGGAACTTACTGTCTTTCTTAAGAGGCTTTTGGGAATATTCAAGGAGAGATACTTTCAGAAGAATTTTGATCTTAGAATCCAGGCCTCTCCATTAGGACAAATACCTAAGGCATGCAGGGCTTAAAACCCAGATGACGGGTTGATAGGTGCAGCAAACCACCATGGCACATGCATACCTATGTAACAAATCTGTACGTTCTGCATATGTAGCCCAGAACTCAAAGTAAAATTAAAAATAAATAAATCAATAAAATTTAAAAATTAAAAGAATCCAGGCCTCTCTGCAGAAGCAGTTTCTTTATGGAAAAGAACATGGACTTCTAAATCCAGGAAGCTGCTCCCAGAATATCCTTGACCTCAAGATGTATGGAGGCATTTCAAGCTTCTGTTTGCATTTCATCTGCTAACATCCCATTGACCAAAGGTAAGTCACATGATCAAGACCAAAGCTGAGAAGCAGGGAAGTACACTTAATTTCTACTGGGAAGCGCTCAAAAGTCACATGGCAAAGACTGTGGATGCATGGAGAGGTGATGAAATGGGAATAGATATTCAATCTCCTGCAAGTGTATAATTTTTTTTAAGTTTCAACATGAACAAAGCAGCCTTCATGTCTTCATACGGAAAATGAACTTAACCATCTGAAAAGTCTGACATAATCCATTGCAAAATGTCCACAGAAAAAGAAATTATTTAGTTGGAGGGAACTGAAGTAGTGACTGACTATGAATTGTTATCTAGTAAAGAAAGGGAAATCAGAAAAATACAATGTACCAAAACAAAAAAATATATATACTAGGGAAATTTGGAAGTTTCCATTAACAAAAGTTGACTCTGTCAATCTGGTTTTGCTGACTGAAGGAAACTATCTTATATAACTCATTTCCCATACACTACTTTTTGAAGCGACTTGTAACTTTTTATTTTGAAATAATTTCAAGCTTACAGAAAATGCTCAGGAATAGTACAGAGAGCTTCCATACACATGTCACCCATAATCACCAATTGTTAACATATTATAACATTTGCTTTACCATTCTTTCTCTCTCTGTGTGTGTGAGAGAGAGAGTGAGAGAGAGAGAGAGACAGAGAGAGAAAGAGAATGTAATTTTTTTCTGAACCATTAGATAGTCAGTTGCAGACATAATGCCTTTTTGCCACTAAATATATCAGTATATGTTTCCCAAGATCAGAGACATTTTCTACCATAATCAATTATCAAAATCCAGAAAGTAACATTGGTGCAATACTATTATCTAACCTGCAGAACCTATTCACATTTCCCCATATTTGTCAATTATCCAGATAATGCTCTTTCTAGGAAAATAACCTCTGACCATTATCACACATTGCATTTAGTTGCCACATCTCTTAAATCTCAATCTGATACTGTTCCTCGGTTTATATTTTTCTTTCATTATCTTGACTATTTTTAAGAGACACATCAAGCTATTTTGAGGAAGGCCCCTCAATTCGGCTTTGTCTGATGTTTCCTTACTATCAGGTTAAGACTATGCATTTTTGGCAGTATTGACACAGATGTGGCGCTTTATCCACCTCAGTGCATCGTATTAAGAAATATGTGATGTTGGTCTGCACTCATTACTATGACATTAACTTTAATCACTTGGTTTCTCCAATGTCAAATTCCTATTTCTCATTTATTTAATATGTGTTTTCTAGAAAGATGCTTTGGAACTATGTAAATGTACTGTTCTTGATAAACTTTTACCCATTAGTGTTAACATTTATTGATGATCTTTTCATAAATCCATACTACCAAGATGTTTGCTAAAAGGTGATTTTCTAACTCCATTATTTCTCTTCTGTGTATTAGCTGGCATTCTACTGTAATTAAGGGTTTTTCCTTTTTTCCCATTTATTTATATCAGTGTAGTATTATAAATTCTTGTTTTATTCAATGGTTTGAAAGCCATTGCTATCATTCTGATGCTCACATTGTCCCAGTAGAAGCCATATTGTACTTTTATACAATAAAATACCCCAAAAAATGGTACAATGAGTGAGCCCTCTTTAAATGTCCTATCCAGTCCTGACTTTGAAAGAACTTACCATGGGGCTGCATCTCTGGTGTTTTTTTCTTATGTGTGTCATGGGTATGCATTCATAAGAATGATAATAAATCGTGATATAAATTTACTAAGAATTCACTATGTGCCAGGCTTATTGTTAAGCACTTTACCTACATCACCTCATTTAATCTTTTTAAAAACCTATAAGGCATATTTTTATGGTTATAATGCCTGTTTTGTAATTGAGTAAACTAAGCCTGAGAAAAGTTAAATAAAAGCCAGAAAATAGGAAAACTGGGGCTTTAACCTGGGTCATCTGACTCCAGACATTTTTTTCCTCTGAGCTATGCTTAGGTCTTAAGATTCCTAAAGGGTGGAGAAAGACTGTACTTGGTAAACACCCACATCCCTACTTCCTTAGGTGCAAGGCTCTGCATTCAGAAGATCAGCCTGGTGTGATGATGTTTTGATGTTTCAGAGCACAGATACTAGAGTGAGGCTGCCTAGATTCTAATTTGTGCACTCCCATCCATGAGCTGTTCCACCTTGTCTTCCAGGAGTTTCAGTTTCCTCCCATCCAAAACAGAGATGAGAATAAGAACACTCCACAGAATTGTTTTAAAAATTGAGAGGGAGCATGCAGGTAGAGCACCTGGCATTGTGGCATGGCACGTAATAGACACACAATACAAATTTAAAAAAAAAATACTAAGATGGCCACAGAACAAAATCTCTGCTTATTATTTTTAAGTTGAGCCATACCTATGCTATAATCATCTCTTTGATGTAGCTTAAAGTATTTCTTCCAAGAAGCAAAAAATATTTATTGCTGCCCAACGACTGCTATCTTCTGACTTCTGACTCTCTGAGATTCTGAAGGCTTCTCTAAGAGTATCTTAAGATATTTTGTGCCCAGTCCAAATTTGGCTTTCATTAGCCATTAAAATCAAGGAAAACTTTAAATCAGGGCATAAAAGAGACTTTTCCTACGCTTAGCATCACATTAGCATGTGAGGGACTCTGCATCAGCAAAAATTTTTTTTAATCAACCTAAACCTCTGACTAAATTAATAAGAGTTGAGTTTGACCTTTAAAATGCTAAAAAATACAGTTCCCAGTATAATTCTTGTTCATCCCTGGACCAAACCATTCTCATAGTAAATTATGGCACTAACAGCTGGCTGCCAATGAAGTCAACTATTAATTGTATGTTCACTGCACTCCCTGATATAAATCAATATGAGCAATGAGCAATTGTCCTCAGTCTCTAGATACAAAGATCTTACATTGCAAAATAATTTAAGGTTGGCTGTCAGCCTTCTTAGACTAGATGTCATTCAGTCTTCCCTTTGCTAAAGATATGATAAAAATGAACACACATTGAAAACCCGCCTGATCTACTGTCTCTGCAGCAAACTTGTAGTCATCTCTATGAAAATGACAGTAGAAATGGTTTTTGATTGTGTATTCCAAAGAAGCAACATCTACATTTTTACAAATCCCAGTGAAATCTGAAGAATGGGTCTCACAGAATCACTACTATCTCAAACTCTCAAAATTTCTTGTCTGTTCACCCCCTTTTACCTTCACTCCCTCCTTTCTACCAACTTGCTCTCCATCTTCAAAAAGGCCACCAACTACCCTGTTTTCCTAGTTCCCATTTTTATTCCAACTTCTCTCATCTCTCTTCCCAGTTTCAGTCTCATGGACACTAAGAGCTAGTGACATTCTCACTTTACAGCCAAGCATTCCCATCTTGGGAACCCCTTACCCTAAGCCATCCCACTGTTCCCCTTTTTTAACTCCTGGGTCACAGAGTATTGCTAGGGGATATGAGGAAATGACACTGACAGGACCTGTGACAAATCCACATCATCTAACTCTGGTGGGCCCTCTATAAAACTCAATAATATTTAAATGCATGTTTTGCAAAGTTGCTTCTATAAGACATTCTCAGAATGCTCGTGTGAGTGAAGGATCCCATGGTTCCAGACCAGTTTGGAAAACACTGGTTTAAATTCAGTTAAACAAGTTCTTTTCTGCAGAACTTAGTGGAGCCTGGTAGGCATTGTGGGTTTCCAAATGGGGATTATATATGCACCATTTCTCAAAAGTTTTATCTAAAGAGTGACTTTTTCACAGAACAACCACATCTAGTATTCTGTGAAACAAGTTGGGGAAATACAATATTAACTCATTTTGTGTTCATTCCTAACACACTTGTTCTGAACCATGTTTACCCTAAAAACCCTAGACCCATTCTAGCCTTCTCAGCTGTAGCAAATGACTGAATTTACATAGAAGCTAGAGACTTTTTCACATAATCTCTTCAGCTTCCCTCCTTTTCCTCTTCCATTTTTTTCCCTCCTCCCTGCTAAGCTGAGGAAGTGGAGAGAGAGCACCCTGACAAGTCTACTTCTTTTCCTATCTCAAGATCCTGTCCCCTCACTCCCTCCACAGAAATCTCCATCTGCCACTCTCACTCCTTACATTTGAAACCCCTCTTGGTGTCTTCCCTGTATCTACAAACATGTCAGCAGTTATATAGCATAAAACCTTTCTCAATCAGCTGTCATACTGTCTTCCACTTCTCACTGTCCCTCACCCTCTACTCTGGCCAAGACAAACTACTCCTTGAATATGCCCTGCACTTTCTTGACTGCAGGCCTTTGCTCATGCTGTTAAGCCTAACTACGGTTATTACCATCTTCCCCATCGCATGCATAAATTCACCCCATAGCATTCCATGACCCAGCCAAACAAACAGGATCTCTTCTGCCTCTATTCTTTTAATACCTACCATGTTCTATTTTGTTTATATTTTTAGAGGCTCTATAAAAGTGTTTAAATCATCTTTATTGAGCTATAATTGACAAAATGTACCTATTTTAAGTGTACAGTTTAATGAGTTTCAACAATGCATACATTCATTTAACCATCACCGTAATATAACATTTTCCATGACTCCAAAAAGTTTCCTTAAGTCTACCCATGGTCAGCCTAGACAACCACTGATCTGCTTTTTGTCACCACAATTTTGCCTGTTTTGTAAATGGAATCAATATTTGCCTATCCCATAAGTGGGCGTAATATTCAATAAATATCAATTATGTTAGTTGATATTGTTGGTTAATAGTATTGTCCAATTCCTCTCTAACTTCACTGATTTTCTGTCTACTTCCATCAACTATAATATGGATGACCTATTTCTCCTTTTAGTTCTGTACTTAGATGAATATTTGCTATGCCTTCTTGATGAACTGGCCCTTTTATCATTGTAAAATATCTTTCTTTGTTTCAGATAATAGTCTTTGTCCTGATGTCTTCTTTATCTGTTGTTAGCATAGTCCCCTCAGCTTTTTGATGATTAGTGTTAGGTTGTATCTTTTTTTTTTTGAGTCTTTATATTTAATAAACTTTATTATATGTAGATACCATATAAATTGAATCTTGATTTTTTTCCAACCTGGTAATCTCTACCATTTAATTGAAATATTTAAACCATTTACATTTAAGTTGATTATCAATAGCTGGGTTTAAGTCAACTCTGTTACTATTTTTATTCTACCTATCCCATCTTTTCTTCCTTCTTGTTTTATTGTGGATAAATTGAATATTTTTTAGGATTTTTTTATCTCAACTATTGGCTTGTTAGTTTTATCATTTTAGTTGTTTCTCTATAACTTACAATATGCATCATTAAGTTATCATAGTCTTCTTTCAAATAATGTTACACTTTATATGTAATGAAAGAATCTTACAATTCCTCTACCTCATCCTTTATTTTACTGTTGAGATTTTAATTTGATGTTATGAATTCTACAATAAGTGATTACTTTTTTTGCTTTAGACAGATAATTATTAATGATTTCCACTTTTGGAATGGATTTTCATAGCAAACCTCCAGCTATTACCAGAAAAATTCTTCATAAATAATACCTATAAATTATGAAGAAAGTAATTTTAAAAACAATTACCTCAAGGCACTGAAGAGTGAAGAAAAACAAGCAGGAACAAGAAGGAAGTCGACTGGAAGAAGGGAAGGGCACTGGATAAATTTCCCATTTTAGGGGGTTTGTTTTTTTGGTATTTTTGGCGATTTAAGGGGTGCACGTGCTTGTTTGTTACATGGATATTAATGCATAATGGTGGGGGTTAGGCTTCTAGTGTACCCATCACCCAAATATTGGACATTACATCTAGTAAGTAGTTTTTTCACCCATTATTCCCCTCCCACTCCCACTTTGGAGTCCCCAGGGTCTATTTTCTCCATCTTTAACTCCACATGTACCATTTGTTTAGCTTCCACTTATAAGTGAGAGCATGCAATATTTGATTTTCTGCTTCTGTACTACATTTTTTATTGTTTTTAGCTTGAGGGACAGCCCAGTCTTCACTAAACAGAACTTTCAAAACTCTGACGAAAAACCCCCAGTCATATTGGCCTGAGGAAGCAGACTATGTAAATCACAATAATCAACAGCTACTGGAAATTGATGGCAGAAATCCCAGAGAAATTAGAGTTAATAATGGGAACCCCAGAATTCAAATTCTGGTATAAACTTTACCAAATCTCTGGCTAACACCTGAGCCATGCATGTCTTAGACAGATCCCAAACAGCCCAGTGACGACTAGGAAAATTAAATGAAAACTAAGCTGCCATCCACCAGAGGGAAAACACAAATTGAAGTCTAAGTTCAGCCAAGTAAACTGCCTGAAAAAAAACTAAATACTTTCCAGAAGAGTATAACAAAATCCAGAGTTTCTACAACACATTATTTACAATGTTTAGAATACAGCCTAAAATTACTCAGCATACAAAAAAAATAAATAAATGATGAATTCTTAAGAGAAAGTGCAATTAGAGAAAACTAATCATAGTTTCCCAAAAGTTGGAATTAGCAGAGGTTTTAAAGCAGTTTTATAAGTATGCACAAAGATGTAAAGGAAAATATGTTCATACTGAATTAAAACAGAATATCTCAGCAAAGAAACAGAAACTATAAAAAACACATGGAAATTCTGTCGTTAGAAAATACAATATCTGAAACAAGAAATTCATTGGTGCATATTAATAGTACAATGTAGATAATAGAAGAATCAGCATACTTAAAGATAAATAAATAGAAATCACACAATCTAAATTGCAGAGAGAACAAAGATTGAAAAAGCTTTAACATAGTTTCAGGGATCTGTGGTATGCAATAAGTTTATTGTCTATGTATTTGGAATCCCAGAAAGAGATAAGAGAAAGAATGGGATGAAAAAAATATATATAAGTGAATAATGCCTGAAAAAGCTCACCAAAACCTAAGCAGCATTAATACAAAGAAAACCACACTGAGACGTATTTTTTCTTTTAATATTTTTTAATACATATGATGGTTTAAAGCAAAAATTATAGTATTGTATTATGGGTTTTATAATGTGATATGTAAGACATAATACAACTGTAATACGAAAATGAAGGAGGAGTATTTAGACCTCTACTGCTAAAAACCTTTTATATTTTATAAGAACTAGTACAGTAACAATTCTAACTAGACTGAAAGGATAAGGATGTATCATAAAATCCCTAGAAAACCTACTAAAAAATAATGAAAAGATGTTTAGCTAATAAGCCAATAGGTAAATTTAAATAAAACTCTAAAAAATATTTTAATTATTTTTTATTCAAAAAGAAGACAGAAAAGATGGAACAGAGAAACACACACACAAAAAGAGGATATTCTGTGGTCATAGAGTTGAAGTAAGAAAAAAATAAGAAAATACTTGTTTAAAGGAGGATAAAAAGAAGTCAAATAAAATGGTAAGTGTAAATCCAGTCATATCAATAGTGACATTAAAAGTTAATGCACTAAACATTCCAGTTAAAAAGCAAATATTTTCAGAATGGATCTTTAAAAAGCAAGGTCTAACTATATGCTATCTACAAGAAACTTAAATACAAAGACATAGATAAGATTGAAAGCAAAGGGATAGAAAATAAACTGGGCGCGGTGGCTCACGCTTGTAATCCTAACACTTTGGGAGGCCAAGGCGGGCAGATCACTTGAGGTCAAGAGTTCGAAACCAGGCTGGCCAACATGATGAAACCCCATCTCTATTAAAAATACAAAAAATAGCCAGGCGTGGTGACACATGCCTGTAATCCCAGCTACTCAGGAAGCTGAGGCAGGAAAATTGCTTAAACCTAGGAGGTGGAAGTTGCAGTGTGCCGAGATGGTGCCACTGTACTCCAGCCTAGGCGACAGAGCAAGACTCTGACTCAAAAAAAAAAAAAAAAAAAAGAAAATATACATATCATGCAAAGGGTAAGTATAAAGAGCCTGGAATATCAATATCAGCTAAAGTAGACTCAAAACAAAAAGTATCAATAGAGATATAAAAGATCATTTCATAATGATAAAATGGTTAGTTCATCAGAAAGCAGAGGGCCGGGCATGGTGTCTCACGCCTGTAATCCCAGCACTTTGGGAAGCTGGGCAGGTGGATCACCTGAGGTCGGGGGTTCAAGACCAGCCTGACCAACATGGAGAAACCCTGTCTCTATTAAAAGTACAAAATTAGCCAGGTGTGGTGGCACATGCCTGTAATCCCAGCTACTCAGGAGGCTGAGGCAGGAGAATTGCTTGAACTCTGGAGGTGGAGGTTGCGGTGAGCCAAGATCACTCCATTGCACTCCAGCCTAGGCAACAAGAGTGAAACTCTGTCTAGAAAAAATAAAATAAAAAATAAATAAAAAGCAGAGAGTCACTGCCCAGGAAATGTATCCACAAGTCGCTGTGAGCCTTTCTAGGGTCCTGCTTCAGTCAAGAGCAGAAAAATATTAAACATCAACCCAAGGGGCAAGGAAAATAAAATTAGTAAGCTGTTACTTTTATACCAAATAGTAAATTATGCACAAAATTCTGATCCCCACAACACAAAGAAAGAGCCCTAGAGGCAGATTAGTTCAATAACAGTGAATGGGATGGTTCACGTTGTAGTCTCTGAGGTTAAACTTTTTTAAGTGAGACTGTTTTGTTTTAGTGACAAAGGGTGAAGGGGATACAATCAAAGTTATTATCATTTTAAATGGAATGGACAGCTTGAACATGGACTCATTAATCACACCCAGAACACCAGAGAACCAATTGAAATTGGAAAGAGTTTTTAATAGAGCAAAAGAAGGGAGAAAGCTAACATGGAAATTCTTACTTTCAAAAAATAAAACAGGCTAGGGGAAAAATGTGTGGGGGATTGGTAATTTCAATACAATATTATGTAAGCTGAGATTTAATTTAATGAAATGTACCTGCTGTTGTATCCAGAACAGTACTATATATGAGAGAAGTGTTTAAAATATGGACCTTCTCTTCAAGATATATAATCTCTCTAAGAGAAGTGTGCATTCATGGACAACCATTCAAAGTAAGCTGCTAAGACAACAGAGAGTTGCACTGGAGGCGTACATAATTCTACCCTTTGAAACTTTCTTGGTGGCATTGTTAAAGATGAAAGTCTAATGAGTAGACTATGTTTGGCCCTATGATTGTGTTCCTCATGTTACCATATTCTCAGTGAAAACTATAAAGAATGTAAACTCTAATTTTCTGTTTCCCTATGACTCCACATTTCATTAGTGGAAAAAATAGCCTATATAGGAAAACAGGAAACATTAGCAAAAATGCAACTTAATATTTTAAGGACATACATAGCCCTAAAGGGACATGCAGCAGAGCACAAAGTTGTATGTACTGGAAAGCCAGCACAGTAGCATTGGTTTGAGAAGGCAGTTAGCTTAATGATGAAGAAGAATATGGATCCTGGAGTCAGGCTACCAGGGTTTGGAGCTTGGCTTTGGCATAGAAAAGTTGTTTAGCTTTGATAACTCTCAGATTCATCATCTACACAATGAGGATAAATGTAGTATCAACCTTACAGACCGGTCATGCAGATTAAATCATATAATCCATGTAAAGTCCACAAAATGCCAGGCACATGACAAACACTCCTTAAAATGCTGGCTATTGCTAATAACAGCTCTGTAGGGCTAAGTGGTATAACATAAAGAGAAAAGAGCCCCAGCTTTTCCATTAGTAGCTGGGTGAGTTTGTGGAGTCCCTTATCTCTAGGATAGAAGCATTGTTTTGCATGCTTGTAGAAAGAGAATAATTAATAATATTTGCCTCACAGTGAAAATGTTACCGGGAAAGAGAATAAGAACATGTAGGCAAAAAATACTTTGTAATAAGTAAAGTGTTAAACATATATGGGTTATTATTGCACTTAACAATTCCCTTATTCTCCTTTAAAGAGATTTGGCTGCCTACATTTTTGACTGCTGTGTTTGCAAATATATTCTCAGCACTTGGAACAATGATTGACACATTGTAGTACTCAATAAATATTGTTGAATGAATATATGACTATCACAGTTCTGTAATTCTGAAGTTCATTTTGTTAGGCCTTTTATCTTCCTGAAATTAGTGTAGATGAAGAAGCTGAAGAGAATTGTCACCTGTACTGCATTAGTGTTCTATTGCTGTGCAACAAAATTACCACCAACATAGTGGCTCTAAACAACACCATGGTAGGTGTGAAGTCTGGCACAGTATTTAAAGTCTCCCAGGGTGAAATGAAGGTGTTGGCTGGGCCTGCATTTTCCTCTGGAAGCTCCTTCCAAGCTCATTCCAAGTTCAAGTTGTTGGCATATTTTAGTTCATTATGACTGAGTGTAGAACTCATGTTCCCACGTCCTTACTGGTTATCAACCTACTGCTCTCAACTCCTATAGGCTACCCATATCCCTTCGGATGGGGCCCCCTCTATAAGCAGTTCATAATAGAGAGGCAGCAGAATTTCCCTCACATCAAATCCCTCTCATGCTTCCAATCTCTCTGACTTCTTCTGCTCATTAGCTAGAGAAAAACTCTCTATGTTTAAAGGACAATTGGATAATCTTCCTTTAGATACATAATCAAGGGAGCGATATCTCACCCTATGCAGAGGTTCCACCCACGCTTAAAGGGAAGGGAATTATACAAGAACAAATATCACTGGGGTCATTCTTAGAATTCCGCCTGCCACATACACTATATTGTAGCAACAAAGAAAGTCATAATACATTGGTGAGATTTTTTAAAGCTGGTAATAGAACATGTGTCCAAGATGGTCCTTTATTTTGTTAATTGATGTGTTTAAATATGCAAGAGGAAGGTCTGGCAGGCTATAGACACCAGCCAGTTGTTATCCCTGTGGAGTGAGAATAAGTCTCTCACAATTAAGTACACACTCTCCTTACAATTAAAAGTAATAATAAGAGGGAAAAGTGCTCCTTTCACTTTATGTTTTTCATCTTCCTAAAATGTAAATTCTAAATACATCTTTCTCCTCCATTTTAATTTGGCTCACAAATAATGCAACAGAATCAAGTGAAATAATTTCTTCCCCTTTAAAGCATCTTTCTCCAAGAGTTTAGCAGATATTTCCTTGTTAATCATCCTGAGTTCTCACACCATGCTTCCCTAGATTCTTCCCTTAAGGTTCAAAAGGCACTGTTTTGCTGGTCCCAGCGACAACAAAAACTTCTCAGCTCTGCAAACCTTACTCTTCCACACTATGGCCTCAACACCATTATTTTTATTAAGTAGGATAGATCTTGTCTACTTTTTTGTGCCCAAGGAAGGAAAATAAAAACTCAGAAAACTCTTCAGTTTAAAGAAAACTACTGTGCTGTACCCCAGCATAACTGCGCAAAGCATGTTTGCAGCAGTAGATTGGATTAGCTGTCTATTGTACAATAAATGAGTTAGAAATCCAAGCAGTAAGTGTGCTGACATTTTGTTGTAAAATTCATGTGTCAAGAAGTCTTTGACAAGCAGTATTTCCATACTTAAATTGAGCAATGGATTGAAGCCTGAAAAAAAGCAAAGAGAATGTATTCTGCAGTTGTCTTTTAAATTGTGTTACCTATTGATAGTTTTCTACCATGGAAAAAGCAATCCTTCCAATATAAAGACATTGCAAACCCAGAAAACAGGCTCTAATTAAATCAGTTATGTTGCATTATATCATGTAAACAATGAGTGTCTATGGCAATCTTTCCATGGAAAAATTAAGTTAAACATTTATAATTCAAATGTATATAAACGTAGGCTACTTCATACATTGCCTGTCGTCTACTCAAAACAGCTCTGAACTCTAAATATAATGGATTCACATGTGGAGTACCAAAGAAATTTTATAACGTATTTAAACTTCATTTTGATTTCTACATGGTAAGCCTCTCAAATAAGCTAGAAATAATCCAGAATTAGCTGTTTTATGTGCTTCAGTACCAACCCTTACACTATGTACTCTTGTAGTTTCAATAATAATTTTCTTATTTGCCTCGGTATCCCGTCTTTACCCACATGAAGTTTGATGGCTTCACGTTTTTTGAAAATACCATAGCAATATAACATATAAATCAAAAGCAATACTAGCTAAGAAGAGGCAGTCACCTTGAGTAACTTTCCTTAGCTGCCTACTAAGGTTAGGAGTAAGATAGATCTTTTGGTGTGTTAGCAGTGTGTGATTTTATTTTTGTCACTATGATACAGATTTTTCATTTAAAAATACATGTTTCTTCTTTACAAAAATATATATAAATCTTTCAAAGCACTGAGCAAACACGCATTTGATCATACATTGTTATGTGGAAGTACTTTGAAAAGCCAAAGGTGCTGCATAAGCTTTAAAATTATCAATATTCCCAGTGTTTAACTTCTAAAAATACGTTGGGTGGTGAGTGAAGCTGACTTTCCTAGTTTTTTGTTTTAGTTAACTAAAAGATGGGCTTTAGTGTTCTATCTAGTATTACCAGTTGGACATGTCCAAAATCATTTCCCTAAATACTTAATTTATGGTGAGGGATTAAAGACATGGGTTTCTTTAATTACATAATGTCCCTTTAGGGCATGTAATTAGTAAAAATGGAGCAAAAAGATGTTAAGACAGAGCCAAGGGGCCGGACGTGGTGGCTCACACCTGTAATCCCAGCACTATGGGAGGCCGAGGTGGACAGATCACCTGAAGTCAGGAGTTCGAGACCAGCCTGACCAACATAGAGAAACACCACCTCTACTAAAAATATTTTTAAAAATTAGCCAGGCATGGTGTGCAAACCTGTAATCCCAACTACTGAGGCAGGAGAATCACTTGAACCTGGAGGCAGAGGTTGCAGTGAGCTGAGATCGCGCCATTGCACTCCAGCCTAGGCAACAAGAGCAAAACTCCATCTCAGAAAAAAAAAAAAAAAAAAAGACAGAGCTAAAGAAAAAGAATACAGCAAACAACAGAAAGAACCCATATGTTTGATCCTCAGAGTTCCATTTTTAACGTCAAATAAAACTTTAAATAATAACTATCAAGTTTTTTAAACAGCACAAAATCTGGATAATGGAGATATGATTGAATTAGTTAAGACAATGCTAGCTACTTTCCAAGATAAAATCTTAAGCCTCAGTGCATTATTGCAAAGGATGCTTATTTCTCATTTAAAGTTCAGGGAGGAATGAAGAAGAGGAACCCAACACAGTCATTCAGGGACCCAGGTTGATGAAGGCTCTGCAGTCTTCAACAACGGACTGCCAAAGTTACCCTCAGAGTCAACATCCAGCCAGCAGATGGAGCAAGGGAAGAGGGGTACATCACAAAGTGTTCACGGATCAGGTCCTAGGCCTTCTGAAGTGACATTGTGCTATCCACTTCTATCCACATTCTGTTGGCTTGAACTCAGGACTATAGTAGTATAAATCTAAAGGCAAAGGAGGCTGGAAAATGTGATCTAGTTATGTGCCAAAGAGGAAAGGAACCTGGCTTAGGAAACTGCTAGCCAGTTTCAGCCAAACTACACGTGCCCTCTTAACCTTCCATTCAAAAAAAGAAAAGAAACAACAGCGACACCAAAGAAATGTTCTCTTCTAGTAGGACAATTTAGTCTGACTTTTCCAGAACTTCCATTTCTCCAAGCCATTCAAACCCTGTTCTTACTATTATATTGGACGGTATGTCCATTCACATGACATTAGATAAAAGAAGAATCATAAAATATGGAAATAAAAGGCAGACCAGAAACTTATGCAATTTAATGCTCAGAAGTTTGTGGGCCAACTTGATTTGCTAATCTACAGTCTGTGCTTCTGGAGAGGAAAAGAAGGGGGAGTTCACAATCCACAAACCAATTTGTGTTGTTTCTGCAACACTGCAAAAGTGCGACTCATGAATATGCTAATGAAATAGCAATGAGAGTTTTGGCACTATTTCATCACCTCAACTAGATTAGAGAGTAATAACACTATGGGTTTACACATCTTCAGAAACTGCTGTGGTAGTAGAAAAAAATGAATCTGTGATATTTATAATGCGACAAAAATTACAACCATGCTACAATAAAATAATGATAATTATTTTATATGTAAGTAATAGTTTGCAGCACACACACACATACATGCAATAGTTCACTATTAAGGTCTTTCACTGCTTTCCATGTTTTTGTTTTTTTGGTGTTAATGTGAGTCTATATTTGTGAATGGGCTCACAACTCTGTGCCTCCTTCCACAGATAGAAAACAAATTTTAAAAAATGAAAATACTGGGGGAAAAATTTACCGGCAAGGCAGAAATCTTCTTTAGAAGCACTTAGCATGTTTCTTTGATCACTAAGATATCACCTTAGGGTTCTGAGAACTGAGGACTCAGGAAGATATAGTCTTACCTGTATCACCCAATTACTAATTCAGTCGTCAAGTTATGTCCCTGGACTCTGAGTCTGTCCCATGAATTCAAGCCTATTTAAGAGTTCATGCGTGCACTGTTTGAAGGGAGTAGGCTCTTCAACAGGTAGGAAACTGCATAGAGGCCAAAAGATTAAAGATTAACTGAAAAAGTCTTTAACAGCTTCATTAAGCAGGCCCAAGCCACAGTGAGGAGTCTGATCATTTTTTCCAAATGGCGTCCAGAGTGCCTAATGTGATGCCTCAGCTGCGCCAGTCCTCCTGTAATTCAAAAACTGCTCTGCCTCCCACTTGCAAGCACTTCTCACTAGGAGTTATATAAGGCATAAGAACATATGGGGAATAATAATCCATAGGTTCAAGGATTTAGAATCCTCTCTGATCCCTAAGGGATGAGGATGCTGTTGGTTACATAAACTGAGAGAAGGCTGCCGATTTTCTCACTATGTTTTACAAGCACCTTATAAGAAAAGATACTAGGGTTTCTTTTACATTTGTTTAATCAACAGAGAAGAAATATTTCTTCAGATAAGTGAGTAATAATAACCTTATGTTTTTTTTTAAAAGCCCCTAATGCTTTTTATAAACATCTCAAGTAATATGAGGCTAGGCACCCACTCACTTAGTATGATAAATATTAATTATATATTAAATTAATATATTAATATTAATTATATATTAAATTAATATATTAATATTAATTATATATTAAATTAATATATTAATATTAATTATATATAACAATATTAATATGTTAATATTAATAATGTATAATAACACATATTAACTAATAATTAAAATTAATTTACAATAATTAAATAATTAATTTAAAATAAGTATTAATAATAATAATCTTATTTTTAAGCCCCTGAATGCTTTTCATAAACATTAGCTCAAGTAATGTGAGGCTAGGCACCCACTCACTTAGTATGTTAAATATCCAAATATGGTGAAATGATAAGGCTATTTATATAGATCTCCTATTTTTCTGATGTGTCCATTCAGTTTGTAAGTTTCAATATAACAAAAAATATTTTTACCAACTCCAGTGACACTTTCAGAGTATCCCTTACCCAGAATGCCTTCATTTTGAGGGTGATTAGGCACAGTTAAACTGAGAAGATTTTGCTCATAAAGAAGTTTGTTGAGATCTAGAAAAGTAAATAATTCATTCTGTTTATAAATAGCACTGTATATGTTCTGACTTGTACCTTCTACATACTTACATTTGTGAGTGCACATATGTGTATATGTGAGTAGATGGATAGATGATAGATAGATAGATAAACATAATCATAGGAGAGAAATGAAACAGTCAAACTGGATATTACCTTTGAGTTGGTACACATTGTGAGTTTTGTGCTTACTTTGATTGCAAACACACACTCAAGTGCCTTAGGTAATATAGTGTCATAAATAAGCTCTAAGTTGGGATTTAGGAGACTTAACTTCTAGCTGAAAGTCTTTTTTTTTTAATTTGGTAAGGTATGATGCAGTAATACCAAAGGTCCCTTCCAGCTCTAAAACTCTGAGTTCTGCCTTTGCTTTGCCAGTTTAGAGCTGGCCTCTGTGATCTTAAACACATCTCTACATTTCTTTGGATCTCATTTTGTAAAGTTGTAAAACTGTCTTATACGTGTGCAACCTATCTCACAGAGATAATCTATGGATGTAAGTGTTCCTGCTGCATTTGTCAATCAGAAATATTTGGATTGTAATGAGATTAATTCAGGGAGCATATAATCTAGATGAAGGATATTAGGAAGAGAAAAACAGCACCAAAAAGGATCTTTTATAGAGATTTATTTTTCTTTGTTCCTTTTTTGTCTCTCTTCAGACCCACTTTATTTGACCAAGACCATCAGTGGCTTGGTATCAAAAATGACTTCAAGAAATAAAGACTGAAAATTAAAACTCCAAAAACTGCTGAAGGTAAAATACTAGTGTGGGAAGGAAAAGCAATGCAGAATTCTCAGGTACATAAAAGAGAAGAATTTCTTTTAATTTGTGTATCTATTAAAAAGTTAAGAACTTTTAGTTCTAGCTGGATCATAAAATAAGTGACATATTTTTACTCTGGCAAAGTAATATTTTCTGAAAAGCAGAAAGTGTAAATGCTATTTCATGTAATATGACCATTTAGGCTATTCTGTTCTATATTCTGGTTCTTAGACTCTTCTGTTAGTAAACCTCTTTGAGAACCCAATGAAAGCTATGGACTCTCTCTAGAAAAATACACATGCATGCGATTTTGCACATAAATTCAGAACACCACTGGGCTATGAACCACAAGTTAATACTCCAGATTTACAATGTTACCACCCTGTTTAGAAAGTACCAGAGCTCCTGGATGAGAAGAGTCTGAATTTGTAGGGTTATTTACATAAATTTGCATACGCTATTCAATCTGCTCTACCTCTATGTTTACAAGATAAATTATTTAGTCTGACCTACTACAATAGTATTCAAATTCAGTATCAGTGACATGATATACGTAAAATCCTTTAGCAGGTTTTTAAGCCAATCAATTTAATCACATCTCACAACCAAGGCATAGCTAGAAACACCCCGGCCAAAATGAAGATCGTTACCCCACCAGCTTTCATACAGTGAAGGTGGGCACACCCTGGCTTGGCCTTACCACAAAAAATGTCCCAGCCCCTTCCTAATGTCCTCTGCACCCTGTGCAGCTCTAGAATGTAATGAAACTGCATTGGTAATTTATTTACTAACCATCAAAGCTATTCTTTCATTACCTTCAGAATGTAATGGTTATTTTATGAAGGCTCATTAAATTTAATGAGATACAGCCATGTTTATTGCCATCCCATAAAAGGAGTGGGGGGAGACCCATCTTCAAACTGACTCTTGCTTCTGTGGAGTACCAAAAATAAAATGTCAGCCCTTACACTGTACTCAGAGCAAGAAACCAGAAGTTGTTCCCAACAGTAGAAGTTGATTAGGATCAAGAATACCATTGTTGTTATGATTACTACAATATAGCATTATTAATAAGAGCAATAGTCTAGTAATCATAACATCAATAATAATAACAGCAACTGATTATTGTCCACTTACTGCATGCCTGGCATTAATTAGCACATTACATATTCTCTCATTTAATTTAGTTATGCCATTAAATATAAAGCCAGAGGGTGCCACATTTTCATGTGTAATCTGAAGCCTCAGTACAATCTAAAGACTGTAAGGGAAGTGGCACCTTGTAAGAGCCCTACTGGAAAAGCAAAGGAGTAGACCTAGACCTCTAGGTCCCAAAGTCAAATCGGAAGAAAGCCTAAGCAGGAAATCCAGCTTCCCTCTTAGGAAAAAGTTCTACCCTGTAATTTTGTAATCAGATGTCTGAGGTGGAACATCTTGCCTTAGAGCTAAGCAGGGGCATCCAGTCTGCCAATAGTGACCAAGAGCTGAAAAGTAACTGGCCAAGAATTGCTTATATGGAGTCTGTACACATGGAACTTGGAAATAGGAATTGTTGCCTCCATGGTCAGTCAGGTTGGAGTTGAAATTTTTAGCTGTCAACAGTGACTGGGAGACAATAACTTTTTGTTGTCGTTGTTTTGTTTTGCTTTGTTTTGTTTTAGACGGAGTCTCACTCTGTCCCCCAGGCTGGAGTGCAATGGCGTTATCTCAGCTCACTGCAACCTCCGCCTCTTAGGTTCAAGCGATTCTCCTGTCTCAGCCTCCCGAGTAGCTGGGATTACAGGCGCACGCTGCCACATCCGGCTAAGTTTTTGTATTTTAGTGGAGACTGGGTTTCACTGTGTTACCCAGGCTGGTCTCAAACTCCTTAGCTCAGGCAATCTACCCGCCTCGGCCTCCTAAAGTGCTAGTATTACAGGCGTGAGCCACCGCGCCTGGCCAACAATAACTTTTTTTTTTTTTTTTTTTTTTTTGAGACGGAGTCTCGCTCTGCAGCCCAGGCTGGAGTGCAGTGGCGCGATCTCCGCTCACTGCAAGCTCCACCTCCTGGGTTCACGCCATTCTCCCGCCTCAGCCTCCCGAGTAGCTGGGACTACAGGCGCCCGCCAACACACCCGGCTAATTTTTTGTATTTTTAGTTGAGACGGGGTTTCACCGTTTTAGCCAGGATGGTCTCGATCTCCTGACCTCGTGATCTGCCAGTCTCTGCCTCCCAAAGTGCTGGGATTACAGGCGTGAGCCACCACGCCAGGCCCAACAATTTTATATGGCAGCTTGTAGAATGGATTCTAGGTTTCTAAGTTTTATCATATTTAGTATATCAGAATTGAATTTTATGTTGAAAACCGTAATTCCAGAATCTAAATGAGGGGAATATTCATTATATTAATTTTGTCACTCGAAAAGAAAATGCTATGCAGGCCCTGACGTTAAGTTACTTATCAATTGACCTTGCTTGTCTCCTCCTAAATGTTCTGTCTTTAACCCTGTCCCAAAGGGTGTTCAGCCTCACAGGAACCCAAAGAAGGACAGGCTGTTTTGGAAGGCAGGACAGAGAACATCCATTGCCCTCTGAGCCCAGATTCATTCCACTGAAGAATCTTCCACAGTATATAATTAATACTGTGCATCTTGAAAGTAGAAATAGGCTTATGAGAAGATTTCCCTGAAATTTGTGGCCTGGAAGAGTCTCAGAAAGTTGCATTTCAGAGGCCAACCAGAAAAATAATCCAGATAAAGAAAGACTCCAGCAGAATATGTATTCTTTTTTCTTCAAAAGATTTACTTCAGCCTACACAGAGTAAGCAGGTTAACAACCAGATGAAACAAATAGAAAAAAATGCAGTGCTGAGGTATAGAGTTGAATAACAAATCCTCCCAGTCACCAGGAAAAAATAACTCTAAAGTAGGATGCTTATCTGACAATGTCTAACAATTCCAAAATTACACCGTAAGTTGTCTTACCAGGATTTTGTTTGCAAACACCCACAGGAGCTCATAAGATGTCATTACAATCTACTGGTCAATTTACTAGGAGAGAAGTTTATCTCTAGGAATGACAGAGTCCCATAAGAAACTGTCCCTTAGAGAGTACAAATTGTTTTCTTCAGGAACCAAAAGAAACTGTTTAGTAAGTTACTTTTCCCAAGCACAAATAGGCAACCTGTGATCTGTTCTTACATCTCACCTAATCACAAAAAAGAGAACTTCCTAATTGTGGAGATCAGGCACACCATTTACATTCAGTTGTGGTTACTGTCATACACACTATGGGACAGTTTTAATTAAACAACACTGATTTATCATCATACTCAATACTTGTTTATTAAAGAGCGGTGTGAGGTAAGCACAAAATGTCATTGTTCTTAGAACCAGAATAGCTATATACATTTCTTAGGCCCCCTGATTCTATCATGTTAAACTATATAAAAGGCGACAGCTGCAAGTTAAGATAAAAAAGAGTTTGCAGTTTTAAAACGGTGCATAATATGTTTTATGGGGAAGCATGGTGCAACAGCTTAGAGCCTGAGTTTGCTTCCAGATTAATACCTCTGTTAATCTCGGTCCCGTCTTTGAGCCTCAATAGCCTCATCTCTAAAATGAGGATCATAATAATAATAACTACTTCATAGGGTTATTGAGAGGATTATATGAGATGATGAAAAATATGTTACATAGTGGCCTGGTATAAAGTAAGCTCCCAACAGATGACAAATATTATTAAAATTGGTAAAGGATAATTTAAAAATTATATTTATAAAAAGTTATTTTTGCCATTCTAAGAAATAAGCTAGAATCTCTAAGGAAACTTTGAAAGGTAAGGTAAGCTTGTCTATGCTTATTTAGATGAGGTTGAGTAAAAGTCTATTCCAGTTTTAATGCAGTGATCTAATTAACCTTTTGCCAGGACTAAAATGACCTTGAATTGGTCTTATGACCTCGAATGCTTAATGTTGTTGACTTTAAACAGGCTTTTTGGGATGGTCAGAAATAACATCTGGTGAAATGAGCTAAAGGTCAAAATCATTTACTTTGTAATAAATAACAAATACATTTTGCACTAGCTGCTTACAAATAGAAAGAAATGCATAAAATTCATTTGTCAAAGCAAGAAGGTAAGATATTACATAAGGAATATAGAATCAATCAAAAAATTCCAAAAAGATCCAGCATTGATTTTTAGTCTCACATCACTTATTTTATACCAGGAAGTGATTAAATTATTCATTTTTATAAAGTAAAGAAATACATTTCCAACTAACATTAAAATGAAGTAAAGATGAATCTAATTAAACAACACTGATTTATCATCATAAACATTCCTGTCTCAGGCAGAGAAATCACTGAGCTATAGTGAAATGGAAAAGATAAATGTAGCTTGTGAAAATGTCAGAACTGAGAACTGTATGATTTCTAAAACTCTTTCTTGTTTTACAAATGTTTATGCTTCAAAAACCAAAACTCTAATGGCATCTTTCACCTTATCCACAAACTTTAGGGTGAATGACTCAGCCTATTTTATCAACAGAACCATGTTTAGAAGATCGGTTTCAAAAGAGAATCCCAACTAAGAATAACATTACATTGTTTTAGCCATAACCAATAAATACAACTTCATCTGATTTTTGTGCCTCTTATTGAAATCTTGGTGAGCTTTTTTCAGACCATTAGTATAGCAGATTTCTTTCTATTCATATAACTGTAAGTTGACTTTCATTGCTATGTAAGAATTATTACTTCTGATACAGCAGAAGTAGCCATCTCTTTTTATTTACAAATTCTGTTCATCAACTTTCACATCCATTTCTGTTTGAAAGGGACAGCAAAAGGAAAGCATGAAAGCATTCAAATATACTGATAATATGTGTGCAGTCTGGAGTCTTTATTCAAAATGAAATCAAGTTCAAATGCCTGCCTGCCCAGCATTGTTAAGGAAGATTTATAAGGCACCTCCTTATTGAAAATATATCCAGCATCTCCCTCTCCCCTGTAATAATTGTTGAGCTATTTAGTCAATATTTGGCTTCTGTGCATAGTTACCCACATTACGCAGAGCCACTTTATGCCTCCAGTGATCATGTAGGACCACCACTCCTCCTTCTATTCCTCTAAGTTCAAATGTTTACCTCTGTAGCGGGCTCATTCAGTTATCATTTATATCAGTTATTGGTTAGAAGCTGATCATTCCAATCACTCCAGTACTAATTTTTTATTGTCCCACATCATGGCCCATTCTTCAAGTGGTGTTTCAGAGCCTACACCATTTCTTCGGAAAAAAAAAAAAAATCAAGCTATACATGCCAACAATCTGTAGTGCATTATCATTTGTAATGTCCTAATTATTTTACATAATCAATAACATCAAGTCGCTTTTCTTGGGGACTCTCTGTTTATTTACATTTTATTCCACACACGTCAGCTTCCATCAAGAGCAAAACCAATTTTCTTGTCCTGCATCTGCTTTCAAGGCAACCTTAATTCTCCATAAATCTATTTGTGTTCACTACATAGTTAGACCCAGTTGGTTATGTTGATATAATCCTAGGGCCAAACACGTCTTGCTCTACAAAACAAGACTTAAATATAACTTGGAATGCTACCCTGATGATGACCATGGTGACTGGAGGTAGTGTTTCATTTCATTGTTGTTATTTTTGCAGAGGTCTCTGTTTATGATGTGATGCATTTGGGCCTAAGCACATTAGCTGCATTATTCATTGGGTACATTTGTCAGAACATGCATGTGTATAAAGAACTAATGATCCATATTAAATTAATGACGCTATAAAAAAGAAAAATACTCCATACAAGCAGCTATGTCAGAAACTACAGACTTTGATAAACTATAGAAAGGACCTAATCAGATGAAGCATTGGACTGTTCTGTCTCCAAAATTACATTTCTAGAAATGTACTTGTACACAATGTTGGTTTTATTAAAACAAATTAATTCAGTCATTAAGGAATCATAAGGCAAGTGTCTCATAAGTCAGGACCTCCAGTGTAACAAATTGATTAAATGACTGTGTAATAGTCTCTTTAAACAAATCTAGTGTAACAAGTTAATAGATCTGCTCAATTACCATCCTGGGGTGATGAGGATGTGGGCAACTCTCTCATTAAATCTGGGAGATTGTTCTTAGGAGTTTTTTCCACTTTTCTCTCTATTTTTCTGTCTAGGCTGTGTTGTGTTTTGGATTTGAGGTTTATTTTCCAGCCTCTGAAAATTGATTGTTCTAATGGCAATCAAAAATAAAAAACTGAATTTGATGCTGCTGACTTCTCCAGTGGATTTGTCAGGGGCTGTTGCAAACCAGTTTGCTCGTGCGTGCTCTCTTCTCTCTCTCTCTCTCTCTCATTCTCTCTCTCTCTCTCTCTTCCCCATTCCATCTCAAGCCTAGGCGTCTGCTGAAGGGCTGCAGGGCACCACCCACTGGCCACCACTCTGTCCTCAGTAACTAAAATAGCAAAATCCCTCTCAGATCAGGCTAGAGTTTTCCCCGGTTTGACAAAATTTGCAGCAATGCATTCTAACCTGGGAAACTTGGGCGTCCCCGAGTGCCAGTGCCAGGTGAGGGGTGCAGGCAGAGGGCATTTAAGTTTCTTCTGAGTTGGGAGCTAAAATATGTTTTATTTTTAGCTATGGATTGATTTCAATGGGAAGTTTTTACACAGGCTTCCACATATGAGAGGGAAATTTGCCTACACATCCACGGGCCTTCTCAACCTTCCTGCAGAGGCAGGGAGGGAAGGGTGATCCCAGAAAGTACTAGAGGTGGGTGGGGCTTCCAGTGAGGCAAGTGTGGGATGAGAGATAGCCAAGATGAGGAAGGAGGTGGGGGAGTGGAGAGGAGAGAGGGAGGAGCGTTGGGCCATAAACCCTACATCGAAATCTCTTAAGGGATTCTTGCTTTAAGAAAAAGCAGAACACCCTTCTCTGGGGTATGTTGAAATCCTTTTATAGAAAGATGGTAGCCGAATGTAGAGGAGCTCAGGAAGCCTCCCCTCTCCTAACTCCAGAGATGCCAGTCCTGGCTGGTTCTGAGTTTGAGACAGCACAGAGTAACTTCGAGGCTCTACCTTTCCTTGCAGAGTAACTTCCAGGCTCTGCCTTTCCTTAGGTGTTAATGCCCATGACACCCTTTCGCCAAAGGCCTTGGGAGAAAAATCTATTACCCCACTGCCATTTTGTTAAGTGTTTGCTCCTGCGATGTGACCCTGCCACTTTATCTGTTGGTTTTTATTTTCTGAGTGCATGTTGCCCATATGTTACTCTAATAGTTGCTATAATTCTTGAGCAATGGGGCTCGTATTTTACGGGGCTGAATTAAAAAGAATGCACTTTAATAAAAACCTGAGCAATACACTAATGGCCTGACATTGATGTATTTGCATAGAGATGAATTATACGGGCCTGCTTGACACGACTTTTAATAAATGATTGAGGAGGTTATTATAAGGATGCACTTTGGTGTGTGTTAACAGGTTCTTTTAGTGCATCTATAGCCAAAACTGGGAGCAATGCAGTCCCGCGTACAGTCGCAAGATACTTTTTTGTCTTATATCTTTTGACATTTATTGGGACCTCTCCGTCCCCATATTACAGTCACAAGCTACATTTTATTAACCGTCGGTAACGTTAACTGTGAATGGAATCGGGAAATGAAAAGAAAAATGAGCCCCCCTCCATATACCTCCAACCATATTAGATCTCAAGGTAGTCAATAATGAGTGTTTGATACCAGGAAGCCTCACTTCGGAAGTCACAAAGAGCTGGTTACGCTCGCCTAGAACCCGGCAGGGAAGGCCGCCGTTCTCCCCGGAAACCGCCGGGCGAAGTGCTGAGGAGGTGCGATGAGAAACCACCAAGTCAGAAATCGTCAGCGATGTGGATGACTCGGGAAACTTCTCTGTCTGGGTCTGGGAGTATGAAGATCTATAAGAACCTCTCTGCACACAGAAATCCAAGAGCTCACACGCTACTTAGATGAATTAAGCACCCAAGAGGATATATTTAAATACCTTCTTGCTTGTGCACTCTTGTCCTGCTTGAATTTCTTTTCTCCATGTGCATGTACTACCTAGCAAAATATAAACAATACAAAATTTATTTGTAACTGAAGGCGGCTCTGCCTCCCCTCTGTCTACCTTGCGGAGACTATTCAAACGCCCTCGCTTGCGGGGTTTCGGAGCCAGAAGTCTCGAGCTCCGCGCCTCCGCGCCCCCGCGCCGCGCCCTTCCACCTGCACCCGTTAGGCGCGCTGCGGGACAACAGCGCAGATGCAAACAGCTTTCTCGCAAGGAAAAAGGGAATTGAGGAGAAAGTTTCCTCTCTGAGCCGAGGGAAGCGGAAAAAGATCAAAGGTCGGGGGCGGGTAGAGTGGGGGTGGGGGGAACCGCGGGACGCCCTAGCTGTGTGCGTTTCGGGAGGCCTCGCAGTGCCATTCTGCAAGAGTACCTGCTATCTCGAAAATCTTTTGCCACCGCCGACCGCAGCGGGAGGGGGCAAGGGGCTCTCTCTGACTCAGCTCCGGATTTGTGCATCCCCGCAGTGCGGCACCCGCAGTCTTGACTTCCCCAGTCTCTGACTGAACAGATGTTTTTGTCCCTCGCGGAGATTTGTAACCGATGTTGGGAACAGCTAGTGGACGGTGCTAGCAACCTGTATCTGTTCTAGAACACACCTAGTGGGAGCTGCGGGGTAGAGTGGAGAGGTAGGAATGCAGCGGGACTGGGGCAGGGGACAAATCAAGGTGTGTGGGTAAATGTGAACATATGAACACACGTGTGTACGCACGTCTCTAAATGTGTCATTCATAACATTTTAAAAATGGTCAAGTCCGGCCGGGCGCGGTGGCTCACGCCTGTAATCCCAGCACTTTGGGAGGCCGAGGCGGGCGGATCACCTGAGGTCAGGAGTTCGAGACCAGTCTGCCCAAAATGGCGAAACCCCTTCTCTACTAAAAAATACAAAAAAAAAATTAGCTGGACGTGGTGGCTGGCGCCTGTAACCCCAGCTACTCAGGAGGCTGAGGCAGGAGAATCACTTGAACCCGGGAGGCGGAGGTTGCAGTCAGCCGAGATCGCGCCACTGCACTCCAGCCTGAGCGACAAGAGCGAAACTCCGTCAAAAAAAAAAAAAAAAAAAAAAAGGTCCAGCATAGCTGTGGTTGCCTTTTCGGTTTCAAAGTAATAACCAAGCAAGGAAGAGAGAAGACCGAAAACTACCCCGCGGAAACTAGCACAGTGTGCCTGGATGTCTGTGTCCCGGGACCTCGGGGAAGAGGGCCCGCACCGGTCTGCGAATTGCAAGGCCCGGCCTTCCCCAGCGACGCTCTGGTATCCGCTGTCCCCTCCCTGTACCTCCGCGACCCAGGGGACGCCCAGTGCACCAGGCCCTTCCCCGGGGTCAGCGGAGGCGCAGGGCGTTAGCCACATCAGAGGTGCAAATTTACCCCGGGCCCAGGGGAAAATGGCGACAGCGTTCGCGGCTCCACCCGGGGCGCGTGTCAGCGTTGGAGAGCCTGCCCGGCCTGCAGAGGGCGTAACAGGCACCGCTGGGGAGAGCCAAGCACCCCTGCGTCCAGGATCCGTAGCGCCGAGCTGCAGGCCCGACCTGCAGGGGGCGTGCCCGGCATGGGAAGCTCAGGCTACGTCTCCGAAGCTTGCGCTGAAAACACCAGAGGTAGGGAAAACGGGGAGAGCGTACTGTGCTGGGCTCTACCCTGGACACCCCAGTTTCATTCTCTGCGAAGCCACGCGCTGGCAGGGCTCTCGGGACGGCGATACCCAGGGATGATGGTACCCCTGGTCTCGGCGGGACCTCCCGGGAACTTGTCCTGGGGGAGGGAGCCCAACTGGCCACGTACTGGTAGCAGCAGTGGGTGGAGCGCACAAACTCCGAGGCCCGCGTATGCCCAGCACCCCAGGCTGAGGCTGCAGGGCCCCGGACCCGGGTCCCAGGGACGGAGCCTGCCCCCAGCACTAGGGAACTGGGCCAGGTATGGTGACCAACGTCCTAAATCCCAAACAGACTTCGTTCGGCCGGGCTCAGTAAAGAATTTGCCGAAAGGTAGAAACTGGACCAGAGAAGGGAACACAGTGCCGGGCACATCCTAGCTCGCTTGAATTTTCTGGGCTTTGTCATCCCCGAAAGTAGACACAGGATATATTATCAAGAACCTGGCGGCGTGCGGAGACTAGCTCCCTGAGATGCGCCATGACTGGATTTCAGCTCAGTCCAAACTGTGGGAGAGTCGCAGAGGAGAGAACACACGAGGAAGGGTGTGTAAAGGAAGGGACAGCTGGACAACTGAAGGCAGCGGCCACGGCTGCCTTTTCCTGCCCTGAAGTGGTGGAGCTTCTGGGAAGATCCGGGGCCTGTAGCGCCCTTTCCACTGCGAGTAGGCGCAGCCGCTTTACAGGTTGTGCGATGGATACAGGTATCGTGTGGCAGACGTGGTGCCGTCTGGGCTTAAAGCCATCGATAAGCAAACTACACAAGCCAGCCAATCCCGAGCGTTCTAATTGCCTTAGTCCTGGGATCACCCACGCAGCAAGTCCAGCCATGAAGCCCGCCCCCACAGACACACGCTTGCCCTCTCGTCTCCCTTGCACCCATTGGACTCGACGCCGCAGCGTGTGCAAAGAGGCCCAGACTGAGTCTCTGTATGGGATTCTCCTGCGGGGTTGGGAGAGACTTCTTTCGGAGCAGATGAGAACAACACAGACAAAACCGCATTTTTTGACTCCTCATTTAATCAAGACGAATTCCGATTTGTCTCATTTTGACCTTTGTCTGTGATTGAAAGGGAACATTAACCCCTACAACTTCTGCATGTTTTCTTTTCAGGGCCTTTTTAAACCAGAGTTGTCTCTGGGAGCTCCAGCCTTTAGGTCCTTCAGGTCTCTCCTCACCTAAAGGGAAAGTTCTGGGAGGCCCAGGCCCAGCACAGCCTCTTCAGGCATTCAGAGAGATTCTATAGCTCCTTCCTGTAGGTGGGACCGCAGAGCACATTCCAAACTCTTCCCTTAGGAACCGTGGTCCTAGTCCAGGAAGCCTTTCTCCTCCACATAAGGACCTTCCCCCACCCCCTCCCCCAGGAAAAGCCAAGTTCCTTCATTCTCTGCTCTTATACCGACCCTGCTCTTCACAGAGAGTCTGGTTTGTGCCCGAGATGAGCGAGAAACGCAGGGTATGGGAAACAGTGAGTTTTCTGTCCAGCCGAATAGGAGCAGATAAAATAAGACAGCCCGGAGTTCAGCTGTGTGACTGAGCCGGGAGGACCACCACACGATTCCCCATTCCTATCCAATTCCCAGTCATGGGGTAGAGGACACCAGATTCTGAGAGGCAAAGGACTACACCTAAGGCTTTTTCTAGCCTCTCCTAGACAGCAGAGTGTCTGTTGCTGTAAGTCAGCATTGTAGAAAAAGCACCGAAGAAAAGGAATTGAACGATGAGACCATTAAGGTAGAACACATACCCTTTTTAGGGCAGAAGGGCTCCCAAACACCCTGTTCTAGCAATTTGTCAAACTATTACATAATAATCAGATGTACAAGGGTGCGGTGGCTCACGCCTGTCATCCCAGCACTTTGGGAGGCCGAGGCATGCGGATCACCTAAGGTCGGGAGTTCGAGACCAGCCTGACCAACATGGAGAAACCCCATCTCTACTAAAAATACAAAATTAGCCAGGCGTGGTGTGTACCTGAGCATGCACAGTGTCCCCAGGATACAACAGGAAACAAGCTGTGTATGACCTTATGTCCTCAAAGTCTGACTATTCCAGGTTTAAAAGTTTTCTAAGAGGTAGTACTGCTACAGCTCTGTCCAAATTGTCACCCACTTTGGCCTATCAAGTCTCTTTGAGGCTCTTTCTTCTCCTGGGCAAAACGACACAGCACTATACTACAGAAGATAGAGAGCTAGATAGATAGATGATAGATAGATAGATAGATAGATAGATAGATAGATAGATAGATAGACAGACAGATAGATACTGTTCACTTGGAAACCATCATGGCCCTTGCAGGTAGAGCATGGGTCCCTGGCTGACACAGTCACCTTAAGTGTGCTGACAGCAAGGGCTCTTGGAGTCATCCATTTGTCCCTTACTTTCTATCTAATGGAAGTTAATGACAATGTGCTGATTTCATATTTGCCTTTGCAGTCCCTTTTCTCTTTGAATTGTGTTTATCAAGACCTAGACCAGCAGTGGGATTGCTTTTTATATCAGAGGTACTGAAGCCCAAGTTTTCAACTGTATTTGCTGTTTGTACTGTTTCCCTGGTACCCTGGCTTCACTCTGCTTCAGTAGTGTTCTGAGAGGTGTGCAAAAGTGGAGTAGATGGTCAAAGAGGAAGAACCTTCTGCCCATCAACTTCAGTTGGCAAGTAAGGCCCAAACTCACACTGGAAAAAGCAAGTTCTATGGGAGTTTTCCCTCTTAATCAAGAGCTGGTTCCGTGACTCCTAGTGGTCTTGCTCTATTCTTTTGAGGGCTTGCTGCCTCCCTCCCTTTCTTATGCCCCAGGAAATCAACAGCAGCTTCAGCACCTCTCACCCACTCCCCCATCTCCTGCCTTCTTGCAACCTTGTCTCTCTCAAAAGAGAGTCATATCCCTAGTTTTCAAAGGAAAGGTAAAAGGGGCAAATTCCAAATGCTCAGTCCTAACTTGAAACTCAGTGAAAAGTGAAAAGAGACTTTTTATGTCTCTTTTCTTTCCCTGAGGTTTTTGTTTGTTTGTATCTGTGTTTTTTATTTGTTTGTTGTTTGTTTGTTTTTACATTTCCCATCATCCAAGCAGGCAGAGTAATGTTGGAAGTGTGTCTCTGGCCGCATCTTGTGGGGAGAAGATAAGTAGTACTGGCTTGTGAACCAGATCCAGGTTCTGTCCATGTCTGAGATTTCTTCATGGGAAGCACCAGTTGTGATATATTTAGCCAAACTACACAGCCATATTACAAGATATAATCATCACCTCTTATATTTGTATGTCACTTTATAAAGACTTTTTGCTTTTGGGTTTCACAACAACTTTGTGAAAGTTTGATTGACGTAGTTGTATAGAGGAAGAAATGTCTGGGATCAAGTTACTGCAAAAAATAGAAACCAGTGCTAGGGCTCAAGTTTTCTCTCCCTAATGAAGTTAACGGTAGTGCTTCCTTTCATACCACATAGTGTCAGTCTGGTGGCATTTTCAAATGACTTTAAGTAATTATGAAAGATGCCTTCTTCAAGAATCTTTACTTTCAATTGACTACTCTTTATCCAGAGAACAAAGATAGGTCTATTATATAGGGTACTGCTTATCTGTGCTATGTAACAAATTATCCCAAAATTTAATGGCTTAAAACAATAAACATGATCTGACACAGTTTCTATGGGTCAGGAATCCCGGAGGGTTCAGCTGGGTGATTCTGCCTCAGGGCCTCGCATAAGCCTGCAGATGCCTCAGTTCCTCACCACATGGACCTCTATATAGGGGCAACACTGCAGCTGGCTTCCTCCACATCAAGTGATCCAAGAGAAAGAACAAGGAGAGTAACCTACACTGTATTCACTAGAAGGAAGACACTGAATTTAACCCATACCCAAGAACACAGGAATTAGGATCCATCTTTTAAAGGAAGAAATAAAATAATTTTTTAAAATATTCAAAAACCACTTCAGGTAGTCAGGCTTTAAGGTTTACATAGAAGAAATCCTCCTTTGCTGTCTTAACTTCTCTTTCCACTTTCACTTTGCATAATCTTTCCCTGGTTGCACAAGACAGTAGGGCTAGAGCTAAAGGCAACCTGAGACAGGGCCTTTCTTGATGGTGCTACTGCTGCTGCTGCTGCTGCTGATGATGATGATGATGATGGTGATGACAACAATGATGGCTACAACTTTCATAGCTTACTATGTGCCAGGTACTGTTCATATGTATTAATTCATTTCATTCTCCCAATAATTCTATGAAGTAGGTGCAATTATCATCCCTAATCTACCTGTGGAGCCCTGCTCTCAATCACTATATGATCTCTTGATCATTGTGATCTTGTGGCAAGAATGAAAGATTCCTTATACCCTCTCATTCACTTGAGACCATTTGGTTTTGAGAATAAAAACTGGCAAATCCTTACAGACCAAGTAAAGAGTACAGAGAAGGAAGAAAAATCTAGGGTCAAAAAAAAGTTTCCAAAATTCTTTTCAAGAGCTGAACCATAGCATAAAATGCAAGGACCAAGGCTGGCAAATGATAAATAGAGAAATTACTATAAACCATGGACTCCTGTATGGAGCTCAGATTAAAGGCATGAAAATTGGTTGAATGCCTTTGTTTGAAGATGATTAGACCATGTGGTAATAACTAAGTCAATGGATTTTCAGCAATCTTAACTTTCTGTGGTCTATCCAAATAGATTTGTCCCAAACAATTTATTGATGATGGACAGTGTTTTCATAATTAATTCACCCAACGTCCCAAAAATAAAATTATATGTTACAAAGGTAAAAGGAATTTATATACTAGCTTCTTTCCTGAATTTGATATATCTGTCCCTTATAATAAGTAAATACATAGGATAATTATGCCTCATAATTTATTTTGGCTTTCCCGAGGTAGACATAGGGAAAATGTTATACTAGAAGGGTGGTAAGGTCCCTCTGAAAAAATAACATGCACTTATTTAAATTACATAGTAAAAACTCTTTCCTGACAATGGGGAAGCAATCCATTTTCGAACATATCTTCAACCAAACTAGCCCTTATTCAAAGTATACTAAAATAGAAACTTTGAATGAAGCTTCTACTTCAGAATTCTGGCCACCCACCAGTAGATATCAAACACCATGCAGACATTATGCTCTACTCTTTAAAGTCTTCAAGTGTGTTAGTCAATAGAAGTGGCTGCTTTGGAGCATGAGAACAAATGATGCACATCTAAACATTTCATCTTTGGGTGACCAATGTTGGATCAAAGAGGAAGACTAGAGAGTGAATCCCCCAGGGTCTCAGGTAAACTTTCAGTTTGTGGAACAACTCTAAGCCAATCTCTGGAACACTGAAGTCTCAATTTCAGGAAAATACCCTATTCCTTAGTCATCCTGCTCAAACCATCATTACTCCCAGTCAAACTTTCCATTTAATAGGCTGGGAGAGAGGGTTATAGTGCTGTGTTTTCTATAGATATTAAAAGGGGCTACATTAGGGAGAATATGTTTCTCCCTAAAACTCACAGTCTAAATGCTATGGAAGAAAAAAGTGCACACTTTCCTGTCAAAAAAAAAGGAATAAAATAATTGTCCTGAATAACTGGCAAAAAAAAAAAAAAGTCACAAGAGGAGGAAAGAGCACTTTTTGCTTGTTATCTGTGTGTATGGTAAGAAGGAAGAAATTTAGTGCAGAGAAATTTGTTCGAATTAACATAAAATAGAGTTTACAGAAGAAATCTACCACTTACCTTTGTTGTTACTGCAAGATCCTATTGTCAGTGATTAACAAAGGAGCCACTGTGTCTTTAAACTATTCAGTGCTAGGAGTTCCCTAGTGGAATTTCACCTCTCGTGCGTGTGTGTGTGTGTGTGTGTGTGTGTGTGTGTGTGTGTGTGTGTGTCTGTCCCTGCTGATCATCAACTTAAAGGAAAGGGCAGTGTGGATCTCCCCAAGTTGATGCTGGTATAATAACATACTCATCTATTAATACACAATATTAGGCTCCAAAGGGTTGCAAATGCACCCCGGTCTCTTTTCCAAGAAAAGCTGGCCTGCAGTCCAAACTCCCTACCCACTGAGCAATGAGGAAATTTCTAGAAGAGAATCAGTGATTTTCAGTTCCCCCTCTTCCCACTGTCTCTGAAACAGGGAAAGGAATAGTGTATTAAACTGCTCACAAGCTTGGAAAGCCGCTCAACACACCACAGCTTCTGGGAAGAAAGGCATGGAGCTTTAAGTTACAGAATCCTGAATGTGAACCAAAGAGAAAATTACTCACCAAGTGGAAGAATTGAGCCTGGACTTTGGGGCCCAGAAAGAGAACTGAGTAGATGCAGCGAATGCTGCTGGGACATCTAAGACACAGGTCCAGGGCCCTTCTCTTCTATTCTATATCTCCCATGCAGCCCCATTGCCTTTTCCTTTTTAGGAAAAGAAACACATACCAACAAAAATGAAAAAGCAGTTTTACCCTTTCTTTCACCACACACACACACACACACACACACACACACACACACACGCACACACTTGTTTTTGTCTGTTTTCCACTGTTGGCATTCTGATGCCTGTAAGACTTTTTAAATGCAGTGGTCCATCAAGCCACTTGCTGTGACTTTTTTATTTTTAAAGCATGACCCTGTTAGCTGTAATTGTTGGTTGGCAGCCTTAATCAGACGCTTATGGTTGTTAACGCCATAAAATTTTTGAACCGAAATGAAAAATGATTCTTACTCTCCATTACTTAAGCTGTAGAGTGTCTCCTCAGTTTCCCCACGAGTCAACCCTTGTGAAAATCTGTTCTTGTTGCACATAAATGGAAATAAACCAAACCAACCAAGAACAAGGGAATTAGGGGTAAGATGTCCCCCTTCTCTCTCATTCTCAGTTTTATGGGGCCAGTTGCAACTGGGGGCCAGCTGGAGTGCTGCGTGGAAGTAAATTAACTGGAAACCTCAAGCCACTGCTGCAGTCAAGTAGAAAAAGGAGCAAATGCCAGTGCAGCCTGGCCCCAGAGCCCGACTCTGACTGCCACCCACACACCTCAGAGCACATCAGTACTCAGGCTGGCAAGCTCACACACCCATCCTTCCTCTACATATTTGCCTGTGGAGTGGAGTCCAGGCATCAGCTTTCACCCTTCTCAGATGCTCAGAATGGAAAGGTGAAGAGCACAGAGGAACGCTTCCTAAGGGATTTGCGAGAGGTTTCTTCCTACACCTCTAACTTGGAATAAATGCTATCAACCTGTTTACTTTTTGAGAAAAAGCTTCAATCTTAGTTCCAAGTTTTCTGTGACTAGTACTACTATATTACTACTACTGCCACTATTACTGCTATTATTATATTCTGGGAATAACATTCTAATTATATTGTGATTTTTTGTGTTTTTTTAGGAAGAATAAATAAATAAAAAGTTGCTTGGCTTTTCAAGGCAGAGGAGGTGTGAGTAAAGGCTAAAAGAAATAAAGTAGAAAAAATGTTCTCATTTTCAAAAATTAAATGATAAAGTACAGTTGCAGGACAATAGGTGATGTGTCCTCCCTACCCACCCACCTCTGTCCTTTTATAAAAAGGGAAAGAAATATAGAGGGAGAGAGAAAGGAAAAAAGGAAGAGGAAGGAAGGAAGTCAGGAAGGCAAGAAGGAAGGAGAGGGGGAAGGGAATGGAAGGAAGGAAGGGGGGAGGAAAGAAAAAAGGAAGGAAAACAAAAGAAGAAAGAAAGGAAGGTATTGTTCACAGCTAAAATAGAAATCATCCCAGCACAGCAAACCCTCCTTCAAAATAGCTGCTTCTCTGAAGGACACATACCTTAGTCATGCTAAGAAGACGGAAATTCAGAAGAGTTTGAAACTCCCTGAGAACTTCACAAACTAGAAAAAAAAAAAAAAGAGGACAGATTTTCAGCCTTTCTGTTAAATCATGCCATTAGCATTGCATTCTACAATAATTTCTCTTTAGGCAATTTCATTTTGTGGAATTTGTGAAAATTTTAGTTTTCAACTATTTTTTACTTTCAAGGGAACAGAACAGATCTATACTTTCTTTAGCCTGAAGAATCTACTGAACTCTATTGATTTTTTTCTCTTTGAACACAAGCTCATTAACCCGAAACACTAAGGAGGTAATGATATTTCACTGAGCCTGAAACCGAGTGTCTAAAAACAAAAAGATCCCAAAACAGTGATACAGCCCTGGCCTTCCCAATTTTTTTTTTCTTCAGATTCGGCAGCTGGAGAAGCTATGACATTGCTTTCTTAACCCTAAAATATTTTTACACCAGTTAAAGGAAGCTTTCTTTAAATTCATCTTTCAACAGTAATGTTTAGTAAAATCAAGGCTTCTGTCTTTCCACAATTTCTGCAGTCTTACAGCTACGGGGGAGAAATATTAGCATCAAACAGCAGTGCTACTCAACCAGCGAGCTCCGCTGCCTCCTCTACGCTAATCGAATAGGGGCTGACTGAGGAGCTATCTTGGATATATGGAAATGAGCTCTTCCCAACTGCCCCCCAACCCCAGGGACTTCCTGGAAAAGGAAAAAGCGATCAGGAAGAAATTAGACAACACAGACATCAGAAGCAGCTAGCTAGCTAGACTAGTCTCTCCAAGAATCACCATGAGTGGGGCTGCATTTATTTTATTTTCCTATCCAGGAGAATGAGAAATGTGACATCACTCATCCAAAGAAAAAAAAATTAAGTAACAGCTATTTCACCCAAGAAACCGATATACCATTTTTTTTGTGGTCTTGACTTTTATTATTTGAGATCTCTGATGAGATCAGATGATCTGTACCCTTTCATTCAAGGCAACAGACGTCTTCAAACTGTTTTTTTTAATTTGATTTATCCTTTGAAACAGAAAGTGCATTACATTTAACTGGTCTTGCAAAGGGGGTTTTCTTCTCTTTACAAACCGAATTCCTTATATAAATTAATAAAGGTTAAAGATGCTAATATATCACCATTATTAGCTGTAAAAAGAAAACAATTTACATATTCTATAGTATTCTTATGATACAAAACACTTCAAATTCAATTACAGTAACTAAATGAATTTTTATGTTTCAGACCCAGAGCGGTTGTAACAATTCCCACCACCTACTTTAACACGCATTTTTATCAGAAAGGAGTTAAATACAAGCTATTGTAGCCCCTCCCTCCCCAATATTTTCTTTAAATCACTAATAAATAGCAACAAACGACTGTGCAATTTCAGAGAGGAACAGGGAGGCAGGTGAGAGGCCCTCCCTGGTTCCCACGTCTTCCACTTCAAGTCCGGGGGGCGGGAGCGCAGTGTAGATCCAGGGGGTGGGCAGGGCAGGGCAGGGCGAGAAGAGATGAAGGGCAAAGGTGAGATTCTGCAAATCCAAACGGGAAAGAGGAACGAGAGGAGGGGACGGAGAAGGTGGGGACATTCTATTCTACGCTTCTCAAATTAAGTTCAAAATAAAAGGGAAGGTGTGGCTTGAGTCGCTCTTCAAAGGGGAGGAGGAGAAGGAAGAAAGTCCATCTTTTTATACGAAATTCAAAAAAGCATTTTACATTTTAAATATTCACAATAAAGTAACTTCTAGTCAGTGTAACTCACGATTTATTTACAAAGAGCCTTCAACAGGTTACTTTAGTTGCACAGCAGTGTGTGGGGGGGGAAACGTCCCTCTTCCCATCTGTGGCAGCGCCCGCCCGCTTCGCTCCGAGGTCCCCCATGCGGTGAGCGTGAACCCTTCCACAGCACCTCTCGGCGCCCCCTACCCCGCCGCCCGCGGGGGCAAAATCTGGGGGCGAGGGGGACCCGGGCGCTGAGGCCGCTGCCCGCCTATGGGGACGCGGCTGGGACCGTGGCCCGGCTGCGGGTTTCAGTAGCGACATTTACGCAGTGCATTTGGTGGTCTTTCTTGCCTTATCAACCCCGGAGTCTCTCTCCCCTACATCCCCTCCCACAACTTCAAGGTTAAAAAAATAGATATGTACATCTCAAAAATAGCAAAGGGTCCCCGCAGGCAGGGCCGGGTCCTCCGGGCCCCGAGGAGCGGGCAGGCGCGGCGTGCACGCGGTCCCCGCGCCCCTCGCGGCCCCAGAGGTGGAGGCCGGAGCCGGGAAGGTGCGGCGGGCGGCGGCGTTCAGGATGAGCTCTCCGGCTCGGACGCGTGCAGTAGGAGGCCGCCGCCGCCGCCGCTGCTGGACTTGTGCTTCTTCAACAGCTGCGTGATTTTCTCGTCGTCCGAGTTGGGATCCAGAGGCTTATTGTAGTCGTCGTCCTCTTCCTCGTTCTCCGAGGCCCCCTTGAGGCGCTCTGTCTCCGAGTCCTGCTTCTTCTTGGCCGTGGCCATCTCGGCAGCGTGCTTCTTCCTCCACTTGGTCCGGCGGTTCTGGAACCAGACCTGAGGGCGGAGAAAAGGGAGGAGAGGGGAGGCAAGGGCGAGGAATTAAACGAGCAGATCCAGGCCATGCTACCACTCCCGCATCTCGATGGCCCTCCCGCGGCCCCCCGAAGGCCTGCTGCCCTCCCTCGCAGCCCTCCCTTTTCTCGGCCGTCAAAGTCAGTCTCCGTCGCCCCAAGTTCCCCCTGAGTAACTGGCACCAACAAACTGACTGCCGTTGCCATAGCGATGGTAACACAAGAGTATTGAGGTTGTCAGTGAGCGAGTTCTCAAAAGTAAAAACAAAACTCGGAAACTTAAAAATGAGCGTCCCTAAAAGTGAGTTCACTTTCCTGCCTTCCAGTTTGAAGTTGAAAACTTTCCCCCTTCATGAAGTTGCCCCACAGTGGCTGT
Organism: Homo sapiens; assembly: GCF_000001405.40. Classification (NCBI taxonomy): domain Eukaryota; kingdom Metazoa; phylum Chordata; class Mammalia; order Primates; family Hominidae; genus Homo; species Homo sapiens. Next base: position 84,493,943 of record NC_000004.12, read on the forward strand.
GATTTTATTCCTTATTTACTTTCTTAAATTAAGAAATTTCAAACAACCTGACACGTACTTGCTTTTCGGTATAGATTGTGGGGGGAAAGCACAGCATTTGCCCCAATTACTTCTGTTCTCCTTTTCACTTTTAAACATTTGTTTGTTTCACTTATCTCAGATCTGAATGTGTACAAACATGGTAGATAAAAAATATCCTCCCAGTTTTTACTTGCAATGTATGGTGCACTTCAAAAAAAAAAAAAAAAAGATCTGTTAAAATACAAACTTCAAATCGCCTTTAATGTTCTTCATAAACCCAAAGTAAAGTGAAGACTAGAATTACCATTGGTTATTTTTAAAACGTGAAAAATTGTCAATTACATTATTTTCCACAATTGGCATGTCTATTCTTTCAAATGTTATTTTAACTGTGTTCCTGCTCAAGACATTTAATACAAATATTTTTAAGCTTATTCATGATGTTTGACACATATTTTACCTAAAGCATCAGCAAGAAGCAACATATTTCCCAAAGATATTGAATTATCCTCCCTTTATTCTTGTCCTCCATTATGTATTTTATCTAGAGAATCAGAATTGTTAAGAAAGTGATGTTTATTTTCTTTATACAGCTATAATAATTCACTTCTAGCCATATAGACATATTTACGGTGAAAAATGAAGACCTCCAGATTATCGCAGTAGGCTCTGTACCAACCTACTGCAAAAAATAATTTTAACTGTGATGGTATCCTAATGGCCACATACAAAATCACTCCTGAAATGTATTTTATGATGGCTGTCCAGGGGGAAATACACTAGCCAGCAGACATGGCTAATGTTATTCCTACTTAATTTAAGAAGCAACAATAGAACTAATGAAAACAGACTTACACCCCAAAGAAACAAACATAACAAACTGAAAAAGAAGGACAAAAGAGACTATTGGAAATATAAGAAACCATTAGATTGAATTTACCCAGCTTGTTTAATCCCTTTATTTTTTAGGAAAAAATTTCTGAAATTTGTTTCCTTGGAAATATACTATACAACTCAATTATAAGGAAAGTGATGTTTTAATTATAAATTGTTGTCATGAATAGTGCAAATCCTAAATCTGTTAATAAACTTATTTTAAACCAAATTCAAGCCTATAATTCAGTAATAATCTTGTCAATTCATTTGTAAAATTACTATTCCAAAGCGATTGCCTTAAGCTAAGCTAAAAAACAGGTTCATCTATGGCAAGTGGTTAGATCCTGTGGATTTATTTATTTTTACTTGCGAATTAATACAGTAGCCCTGTAATACTGATCTACATTAGGAAATTATATAACTAGTGGAGCCTGAATTGACAAACAAAAACTTGGATATCGCTACAGATAGGATATGTAGAAGCTGTCTAACTGGCCTGATCTATTCTCTGGGCTGATATTTCAGTAATGCCTTTATTCTCTAATAATGGTGAGTCCCCCAGCACATGCTGCTATATAGATTAACCTAATTTCAAAGGCGGGGACTTGATTCCTTTTGTTCATCAAGAGTTTGCCCGCCTGCAAGACCCCAGCGCCTTTGTAGTCCCCACCCTCCTTCACTGCTCTCAACTTCTCCCCAGGCTCCTTGGATTCGCACCTCCCAGGCGACTGTTTGTTAGTTTGGGGTGTGTGTGTGTGTGTGTGTGCCCATGTGTGCACGCGCGCGCGACAGGGGCGGTACCTATCCCTCCAGGTATGCAAGGTCCACTCACCTTGACCTGACTCTCTGTCATCCCCAACGAATAGGCCAAACGAGCCCTCTCGGGCCCCGCCAAGTATTTTGTTTGTTCGAAAGTCTTCTCCAGGGCGAAGATCTGCTGTCCGGAAAAAGTGGGTCTCGTGTGTTTTCTCTTCCCGTCTTTGTCCAACAAAATGGATCCTTGATCTGTGAGAACCAATAAACAACGAGAGAGGGGGAAAAACAATCGGTTACAAGCGGCTGCACTAGGGGGAAAAAACGAACTCGAAAAACAATGTTTTGTGGGGAAAGAAAGCTCAGTCTGTGGCGGACACCAGAAGTGTAGTGGCGCTTCCAGACTAACGGCACGTCTCCCTTTGCTTTTTTACATCCACCTGTTTTTTAAAAGCCGCGTGTTTGGCGCAGCAGTAAATACCTTCTGCTCAACACCGACGTCAAACAGCTAGGGAGCCTATTGCTAAAGTTTGCCAGAGCCTAATCGCAAGGCCCCATTAAATTAACGACTGCCAGAAAAAGGCCACTCTCGCCTCCTAATCCAGTCGGTGCTCGTTCGGCCCCGGAGCCTTTAAGTGAGAATAACTAGATTTTTTTTTTTTTCCTTCAACGCTTCCCTAACCTGTGTCCAGGCAACAAAGGGGTCCTTGTTTTTGCACACAAGAGAGCTAAATCGCCCCCAAGTCTAACGTCGCTGCAGCCGAGGGGGAGAGGGGAAGGGGGAGGGGGCACAGCCTTTGTTGGCGGCCCCTAATACGGCCATCAAAACCGATACAATAGCGTCTCCCTGGCACCCCCACCAGGCCCGGCTGCCACAGTCCCCGGGCTTCCCAAGAGAACCTCCACTTGGCTTTCGCAACTTCCCGCAGTTACTGCCGCTCAGCCGCACTAAGGAGGTCCGGAGACTTGGAAGAAACTTCGGAGACTCGCTGAAAGGCGAAGAACTGAGCGAGAAAAGGACCCCAGGCTGGGCCCTGAAGTCCACCTGGAAGGCTGGGAGCCTCCGCGGCGCTGCGGCCTACTACCCCGAAGACTAGCGTGATCTTGGGGCAACTCAGTTTGCCTCAAGCAAGGTCTTTGCGGGATGGTACATTTTCCCCAGGCCGTGTCCCTTCATCTCACTCTTCTCCTGGCTCGCTCTTGTGTTAGGGTGTTGAGCTCCACGATGTCCCCAAATGTGCCCGGACGCAGCGTGTGCCAGCCCCCAGAGTGGAGGCAGGTGGGAAAGCGCGGGCCCAGCGCTGGTGAGCGGCTGGAAGCGCTCGCCCTGCCCTGGGGACGCTGGACTGTCTTCAATGGGCTCACCCAGGCCGAGTGTACTCGGGCGGCGAGGGCGAAGAGGTGAGGTGGGGACACCCCAGGCGGAGACGTGCATGCAAATACACTCACTTCCCGGGCGGTGGAGGGCTCACCGCTGCCGGGCCTCACTGCTTCGAAGAGAGGCAGCGGGTTAGGCTGGCGAAGGCGGAATGGGGCGCTGGACGACAGGGAGGAGCCGGGAAAGCAGAGATGCAGTGGCCTCTCCTCCCCTCTCCTCCCCATCTTTCTAATCCAGGCCAGGCCTGCGGTCCTGGCCAGGCCGTTTCAGGAACAGCCAGGGCCTCGGACGAGACACACGTCCCTCACCGCGTTGTGGTCCACACGAACACACACACACCGGCTCAGCCCAGGCGTACTCAAGACTTAGAGAGAGGGAGGCGCTTGGATACAGCCACGCGAGCTCAGAAAAGCGAGAATCCCTTTCTGGAAGCCCTGGCCCAACCTAACTGGTGTGATTCCGGCGCTGTCAAACTACTGGGGCGGGCCACAGGATGGACTGAGCGGCATGCACACCAGGGGCCGCGACCCGGGAGTGGGCAGAACAGGCACGGCAGGCAGGCATCGGGGCGCGGGTGGTAGTACTCACGAGGGGTACAGGCCAGGCGTGCGTCCCTCCAGGGCGGGCTCTGCATCACTCCGGGCCAGAAGATGGGCGTCCGGCCAGGCAGCTCAGCCAGCGGCTTGGGGTACCGGCCCACGGCGGCCACGGCCGCGGCGCTGGGGCTGAAGTAGAGCCCGGGCGGCGGCGGCGGCGGGCTCAGGCTGCTAAAGCGTGGCAGTCCGGCCAGCAGCCCCGCCGGGGATGAGGCGGCGGCTGCGGCCGCGGCAGCAGCCGCGGCGGCGGCAGAGGCGGAGGAGGCAGAGGCGGACGAGGAAGAGGAGGAGGAGGAACCGGAGGGCGAGGCGGAGGGCAGGGCGGCCCCCGAGGCCACGGGCATGGAGGGCCGGCTCAGGATATCGTTGATGCCGTGTGGGGTGGCGGCCGAGAGCTGCTGCGGGGGGCTGCCGAGGGATGAGAGCCCCCCCGTGGCCGGGGGCTTCAGGCCGCCTGGGTTGTGGGTGCCCAGAGGCGGGGAGGGCGACGAGGAGGACGACGACGAGGACGAGGAGGAGGGGGGGCCGGCAGGCAGCGGGGGATACGCGGCAGGGTACAGCGGGGTCTTCATCTCGGCCATGCTGTGCAGGGCGGCCAGGGGAGGGCTGCTGAGCAGGAATGCGCTCTGCCGGGTGCCCTCCATTGCCCCCACCGCTAACATCCCACGGCCACGCCGGAGACCGTAGCCTTGCAGCGAGGGCGCTGGCTGGTGCCCCCCGCGGGGCTCAGAGGAGCCGGAAGCGCCGAGGGCGCGAGCGGAGAGGCACTCGGCGCGCCCGGAGGCGAGCTGCCAACTGAACCAAAAATGCCGCTGCCGGGAGTTGCTCGCCTAGCTGCGCAGCAGAGATGTCCAAACCCTCCACGCGGGAGGCGGCAGCTCGCCGAGAAAAGCAGGCGTCCCGGCGGGCTAGGCAGTCCTTTCGTTCCGCGAGTCCTAGATTCGATCCCTGGCTATTCTCTCTTCCTCACTTTTCCTAGCTGTTCAAAGTGCGCTACTTCTCATCTTCTGCCCCCGGGAAATAAGCAAAACAAAACCCAGGCTGGCTCCGGAGAGTTTGTAGCAAAGTTAGTTGCCGAATCTCCACTTTGAAGTTGGAGGGTGGGGGTGGCTTGCTTTCTTTGGGGAGGTTCAAAGGACGCCTTGTGCAGCCCGTGGCGCTCCTCTGATCTTACTGGGATGCTCTGCTCTTTCGGTCGCGCGGCTGATTCGCATTCGACGCTCACTGTGCCCGGGGAGAAAGCGCATCCAGCCCGCGGGAGATCTAGCCTCTGTGCGGGCTTCCTCCGCCCACGCTGCCCCGGGCTGCTGCGCCAGAAAGGGCAGTGCCACGGATCCCCGCGGCTCCCAGGTCCTCACCTCCACCCGCCTTGCCCTCTGGCCCACGGGGCACTGGAGTTGCAATATTGAAAAGAAAAAGGGGGAGGAAAAACACAGAAAAACAAAAGACTAAGTGTGAAAAGTCTGACGGCTGGGTTTCGGCGCCGCTCGTCAGTCCACTTCTGCAAACGGGCCCGGCGACCCCCGCCCCACCCCCGCTCCCTCTCTCCCTCTCACTCTCAGCCTTTGACTCTCCTCTCTGGCATTTTCTTCGCGGCTTCCCAGGCTTCGGTCTTCTAAGTCCTGTCCTCTGGCCAAACTGACCCTCTCCGCGGCTCCTCCGCTCTTTCTCTCCTTTCCTCTCTCCCTCCGGGCCTGACAGTTCAGATGAAGCTCTCAAAGGTAATAAAACATTTGCATCACTCCCTACCCCTCTTTAGCTGGGGGACGAAAGGGAGGGGGAAGTGGGGGACCAAAATGAGAACTTTGAGGGACGTCACTCCGAGGCTGCGGGGGCCGGCGAGCCGGGCGCAGGCCGGGGGCGTAACCACCGTGTCCAATAGCTCGCCGCCTCGATCCTTGCGTCGCCCCTGGGGCTCGCCCACTCGGGGGCGCCGCACCCTCTGATTGGCTGAGGCGGGCCAGGCGTAGGGCCGCGCCCGCCTAGTCCCCTCCCGCTCCCTACTTCTTTCTCCTGTGGGCGGGGCCAGGAGGGGCGGGAGCTGGTGAGTGGTGCGGTTCCGCGCTGGGGCCAGTGGCCGCCTCAATTAATTGTGCTAAATAAAATGAGAAAGGGGAGGGGGAAGCAGAGACGAAGAGGGTATTACTTTTTAAAGAGAGGAATAATGAAAACTCAGCCCTTTTATGGAAAAGCAGTTCATATTCTTCCCTTGCTTCCCCACTAGCCCGCTCGCGTCATCCTATCCCCTTCCCCCACCAGCTCTGGAGGGCGCCTCACCTCGAACCAAGTCTGGTCCCTTGTAAAATGGAGCTAATGGAGCAGGCAGCCGGCGCAGCCCTGGCCTGGCTCCTTCTTTTGAAGGGATTAATTAAAGGCCATCTGGGCTCTCCCAGAATTGTGTAAATTAATTTGTTGCTCCTTAAGCCTTATAGATGTCCTTAATCCCCTTGTAGGCCAAAGGATCGTCCTCTTCCATCTTTCCACCTCCTGCTTTCCTTTTCTGTTCTTTCTCCTCCACTTTATTTTTTTTTTCATTCCCGAGTTCCCCCCCGCCCGTCGCTTCCCACCGCGTTCATTATCATTTATGGGTTACTCAATTCGCTGAAAACTGAATCCGTTTAATAGGAATATTTATCTGTCAGATGATGTTTATACCTGAGAACAGTGAGGGAGTTTTTTCCCTTAACTTTTCTCCCTTTGATTATTGTTGTTATTTCCTTTGGGTTTACATGGGGGTAGAATCATCAAAATTCAGGCGGAAACTTTAGATACAGAAGCATCTAGGTACACCCTGGGAACTGTAAGCTTTTGAAAACCCTCTCCAAAACTCTGGCGCCTACTCCCAATTCTAGAGTTGCTACGGGAGATGGAGATGTACCAGCTCCTGGACAGTGGTGGTGGGATGTCTATCTAGAGTTTAGGAGTTGAAGGGTGGCTTCCTTTACTCTCTAAATCTCTTCCATCTCTGGCTGATCTTTACGTTCCCGACAGGGTTGAACTGCGGGCTGGAGAAGGAAAACCCTTTGACAATTTTGAGAATTCAGCATGTTAAAGTAACACACCATTGGAAGGTGGTCGCTACAGCAAATTTGGATGAGATCATTAATTACAATTTTAATGAGCAGAAAACAGAAATAAACGCAATAAATGGCTCAAGAATAAAATTTGATCAGCACCACCGACGGATGGAGTTTAGCTATTGGTGTCAAAGCGCTCATTTGGGTCCAAGCACGAAAAGCCAGGAGGGCGTACTCCGCTTCGATAACCTTCGTTTACTAAGCACTAGTTTTTAAGGGTCAGCTTGAGTTTGAGTCTGAAACTGGGGGAAGGAAGGGTTATATTTGCCAGTTTTATTTCCTTCTAAGATAGAAGCAATGTTATTTGGTCCTCCTCTTCCTTTATCTTTCTTCATTAACTTCAAGACTGGTTTAAATCTATTATTTCATGGACTTTAGAATCTGACCTGGGGTAAGGTGAAGTCCTTCGTCAGCATGAATAGTGCTAAGGAGTCAAGCCAAGACTTGCTTCAGAAGAGAGCTGATGTGCGGACCTTCTGCATTTCCACGCGGGGATCCAGTGCTTGGGTCTAAACCCCAGCGCCCTGCCACCTCGGCCAGGAAGCTGCGGGAGGATGGTGGCAGGCATAGCCCGTCCTAGCCTTGAAACTGGGGGGCCTATGTCTCTGGCTTCGTTACAAACGAAACGTTTCTCGCCTTCGGACACTCCACCCTGGCGGTGGTACCCAACCTTCAGTCTCCACTCTGCGCCTGGCCCTCCAGCGACCTCCTCACATCCTCCAGGACACTGCATTCTCAAGGACTAGGTAGGAATTGGGAGGAAAAGAGGCCAGTCATCCCCAAAGATTCCAATGTTAAAGAGTGATCCCCTTTTTATCTCATGTAAATATTATGACTCGGAAGAGAGTTGAATATTTCCCTATTGAGAATGTTAGTATCTACTATTGGAGGCGGGGTTGCCAAAGAGAGACACGGGGGTGGGGGAGAGATTGAGACTGAGATTCAACTCAATCCAACTCAGGGTGAACTGTCTTGAGTAAATAGTTGCAACGCTTGGTGTAAGGATGTCTCCATCGTTCACTTTTACGTATCATTTGCATTGCCAAATTAAAATGGCAGCATTGTTCTTAATTATGACAATAAAAAATTCCGGATCCGTGTACCTTGATCCCTGGTAGTGAGGGGGTGAGCCCCGGGTGCTCGATCCCGCGTAGAGCAGCGTGTATTGCAGACGCACGCTGGGCAGCACGGGAAGGCAGGCCGGTGCCTCCTGCCAGGTGCTAGTTGTAGTGGATCTGCTGCCTGTCTACAGCTGGGAGCGGTGACAACGATGGAGCGTCCTCGGAGAGGGTGGGCTGCCCCCTGTCACTCCCGGGGGAAGATCGCCCTGCCCTCCGCTCTAACTGCGTGGTTGAAACCAGTTTCGGGACCCGAGTCCTGGTCCCGCTGACGCGGGAGGCTTGTTTCTGGTGGGGCAGTCTTAACGCATTGCCTTCAGATGCCTTTGAGAGTCAGGACTTGCTCTTTCTTGGGGATCCTCCGAAACCAGCATGCCTTCCTGCCCACGACCTAATAAAGTGGGACTTTTTCAAGTACCCCTTGGGAGTGGACGTGTAACACGTGGTCGCAAGGATCCCGGCGCATCTCTACGCAGTATATCTAATGGGGATGGGGGGGCTCTGTTTGAAAGCAAATGATTTGCATTTTAATTGAAAAATAAATGAAAGCGGTTTGGCAAATTCTGAGGTTGCAAAAAGGGTTTAAAGGGTGGCGGTGAGGAAGGTTCTGTGCTCCTCGACTTTGAGGCTGGAAACAACAGCATTTGTTTTCTGGTTACTGTTTTTAGCTTGCTGGCATTGTTGCCTAGTCTGTGCCGTCCACTTGACCTCTCTACCTGCAGTCTAACCCTTGACGCAGAAATGCCAAGCGCGTTTTGATACTTGTTTTAAGTTAAAAGAATAGCCACCAAATTCAAGGTAACTAACGGAAGGAATGCAAATGAACTCTCAGCTAAACGTACTAACATTCTGAAGGGAGGGATGATAACGGTTTTGCCCCAAATACAGTAATGTCAAATGTCGGGATACTCAAGTGTAGCAGCAGAAAGTCAATTTCTATTCTGCAGAAAAAAAGTGGGTGGGGTGGGGTCGGATGGGGAGAGGAATGAAGGGAATTATGTGTGTGTTTCAGTCCAAAAATCTCTCTAAAATGCAGTTGCTTGAAGTGTCTGGATGACTTCTTTAATAACTCCATTTCACCTGACGAATAGGGCCTGTTTGTGCTGAACCCGCGGGACAGCTGGGTTTAACTGAATGTCATAAAAGGATTGAGCTGATTGCTAGGTAGAAATACAAGGAAGAAGGAAGAATGTCCCCAAGCTTGAACCAACCTACCCTTGAGGAAGGATAGCAGGGCGAGGGGGAGAACGTGTCTGTCTTTCTTTGCTTCCTATAAACGCCGTAGAGTGGAAACTGCACCTTTGCCACAACTTCTGCTGCCCAGCACTTAAGGTAGAGATTTGGGAAGAATTGAAGCAGACAGCGTGGAAAAGCGCCGTAGGATCTTGCGTTCGGCGCTCTCCCAGTGGAGGCCAACACCAAACAAGTGGGGAAGCGACCAGTGTAAACAGCCCCATCCATTCTACCACAGAAAAGATCTCGAAGTCCAGGACCTCCCTCAGCGATATCGTCAGTGAGAGAGAGGATTACAGCTCTCCATAGAGTCGCAGAATACGTACCTGGGAGTTAAGTGCGCTCCGAAGGGTGGCTTCTGAAAGGTCCAAGAAAATGGAAAATACTAAAGTCCAGAAACATCTGCAATACCAAAACCCGAGTCCTGGAATTAGTGTAAATGCGAGAAAACACCAATGAACTACTAGAGAGAAAACTGGCCTTGAACTTTAGCAAAGCACACACCGCCAAAGATTTTATACATATACATATACAAATGAAAATCTCTTTTCATTCGAAAATTAAAATTTCCCCCGGCCCCGCGTGCGCAAGCATTTTCTTTTCAGGGAACCATTTCCTTTTAGGAAACCCACTTGGATTGAAGTACATTCTAAAATATGGAAGCGTGGAATCAAAGTGCTTATAGGAAGGTCTGTAGATTTCCAGAATTTTCTTACAGAATGAAGTGCTAATCCAGTTTGATGCACCAGATTAAAAAGTATCTGATGTGAACAGCCATGAAAAACTTATGTATGTATAAATAACGTTTTTTGAACATAATTTTTTAAACGACTCTGTAAACTTGTTCCTCTTTATATTCCGCTACAAATTGTTGCTTCTGACTTGAGTGTGCCTCAGTGTGTTCGTGGTGGTCCTTCCAGCTGCCGCCTCCTTGTGCAGCTCCTTATTCTTCAGTGAGAAAAAAAGTTATTTTATTTGCATCGCGGCTTGGCTTACAGTGCGGCCATAGGCCCGTTTGATGAAACGCTGAACAGTTATCGCCCTCTTGTGGAAAAAACTTCTTAGCGTTTCACTCTGTCTAGGAAAGACAAGGCTGCTTGGTTCTGTTGACTGCTATACCTCATTTCCTCACTGAGGCAGTCTGCCTTTGTGCAACTGCAATTACATTTGATTAATATCTGCTTAATTTTTAACTGGAATGCTAAATTCATAAACTATGGACATGGCAGCTCTTGCTTAAAGCAGAAAACCCCTTCTAAAATGAAGATTTATATTTTAAATCTTTCTCTCCTACTTCTCTTTGACTCCATTATTTGACTCCAGTATGACAGAACAAATCTCAACTGTTATTGACATTATTCTGGTTTTCTGCTTTTCCTCTCTGATTATCAAAACAGCATATTTGCTCAATACAGAACATTTGGAAAATAGAGAAAATTATAAAAAAGCACAGAGTAACCTACAATTCCACCATCAGTGGCAAACACTCTGATATTTTGGCATATTTGCTTGTTATCTGTTTTCTGGTCTTTATTTTGTACTTTGTTTTAATGATTGAGATCATATGGAGCATATAATATTGCACCTTTAAGCCCATTTTTATAACCTGCTTTATTCACTTAATTGAAGCAAGAACAGATCTGTCTTTGGAATGTCCTGAATCTAACCTCCTGTGAGGTGAAAAGGGCCCTTCCCTGAAGGGCTTGGGAATACCTCACTCTAATAAACAGTAATCTGGTTTGGAGACTACTTCAATGCCAAGATTGCTGCCCTGATTCTTCCACTTACCATTTGCCCCCTTCACATCCTCAAATACTTTGCTATTAGTTCTCAGAATTTTATGATACAAATAGAATAAAAATACCCAACACTGAGTGTTTAGTGTTCCAAGTATTTTACAGTATTAATCCAACAACTCTATGAGTTAGGAACTATAATTGTCCCCATTATAAGGAATAAAATTAAAGCACAGAGAAGTTAAGTAACTTGCCCAAGATCACACAGCTACTAAGTGGGGAAACTGGGATTTAACCTTCTGGTAGTCTGACTGCAGAATCTATTATTTAATCACTAGATTCTACCACCCCTCTGATAACTGAAAAAAAATTAATGCATATGAAAGCCGTCGGAATATTACAAATTGATAAATAAATATAAAGTGAATCCTTGCACATTCCATTCCAGAAAAGAAACTACAATTCACATTTTCTTAGACAATAAAAACATTAAAAAGATTTTAGAATTTATTGAATTCTTTTTAACGTTATTCAAAAAAGAATTTAATTCCTGAAAATAATACTATGCCCTGGTCTACACACAAGTCGAATATTTAAGTTTCAAAATAATTTTAATATTATTTTTTAAATAAATAGACTTTATTATTTAAAGCAGTTTTAAGCATTTAAATTATTTTTTGGCTGGGCATGGTGACTCACACTTCTGAGCCCAGCTCTTTGGGAGGCAACAGCAGGAGGATCACTGAGGCCAGGAGTTCAAGACCAGCCTGGGCAACATGTTAAGTCTCTATTTTTACAAATAATTTAAAAAATTAGTTGGGCTAGTGTGGTGCACACCTGTAATCCCAGCTACTCAGGAGGCTAAGGTGGAAGGATCACTTAAGCCCAGGAGTTTGAGGCTGTGATGAGCTATGATCACATGACTGCACTCCAACCTGGGCAGCAGAGCAAGACCCTGTCTCAAAAACAATTTTTAAAAAATTTTTTTAAATAAATAAATAAATGGAAAAATAGTAATCACTTTTTAACTTTACTTTTTAGTTTTAACATACAATACACACACTTCAGCTTTATATCCTTGTTCCCTGAACCTAGCAGGTTCATAGATTTCTTTCAGAGGTGGTCTAGAATGAAGCTCTAAAAAGCTGTGCAAAGACCAGGTAGCCTTCAGAACAAACCAGTCAAACTTCCTGATGTTAATCATCAATGGAAGATCAGGTCCTTGAGAAGGAAGGAGGCATTTGAAAAGAAGGCCTTACACAATTTAAAATGAGGAAATGTTTATCCCACTTCCAGTCTCCTTATTTTGGGCTTCAAGCTCCCTTTGGTACTTTGAATGGAGAGGTTAAAGGTAAGCACGATTGCGTGGAGACAAAACTTGTTGTAGGAGGAAGGAATTCCTGCAAAGAACCCCTAGTTGAGGATGAGAACATTGCATACGTTAGTTTATCTAGTTTCATGACATTCATTTTCTCACTTTGATTTTCCCTGTGCTATTAGTAAGACTTCGTTTAAATGTTCTAGTGGGATCTAGAAATTGTTCCTGGAAAGTAAGAAGAAAATCTGCCCACATTTGTACCAGAATAGTAAAGGGAGATTTGTGCCCCTTCTAGACTGTCTAGGTGGCTATGAGGGCCAGTTACTTCTGCTCTCCAAGACAGAAATGTTGTCCCACCTCAGGAAGGATTGCACTAGTGAACTACGATAAGTGGCAATTTGTATTTTTCACAGAAATGGACATTCATCTGATAAAGTTAAGAGGTTATAATATAGTGATAACAAGGACTACATTGTTTTTAGAATAGTGGTTCTAACCCTCTCAGAATTAGTGCTACCTTTTCAAAACAATATTTAGCAATGGCCCCTTTACTACCCTGAAACGATATTCATAGGTTATAGAATTTATCTACACATATAATTTTAAAAAATCAATATAGAGTGTTAACTATGACATAAAGAAGTAAAAAGAAAATAATTTATAATATAACATGTACAGTAATTCTATATGTAAATACATAGACTGTCTACACTGAAGACATAATGAAATAATCAGATATACCTATATATAGAGTCTGGTAAATGCAATAACTACAAATACAGGCTGATTAGGGAGATTTAAATTTTATGAGTGGCACTGACTCGATTGTTGATTTTCAGAAATAATGAATAACTCTTAAATGAAACAAAGTGTGTTCTTCCCTTAATGTACATTCCTGGATAATTCAGAATTTATTGAAACTATATAAAATACTTTGTGTTTATATATTAAACAGGGCAAATTCTGGGCTCAACAACAGTAAGTAGGCTTGTCACTTCTATAAATGCCCATTGTGAGATTTGGAAATTTTACTTTGGTGGGAATGTCCCATGCACTGCAGGGCATTTAGCCTCTTTGGACCCTATTATGCCAATTAATTGCCAGTGTCATTCCTAACCAATCTGACCAGCGGAAAGCACCCACAGATTTGTCAAATGCCCCCCATTGAGAATAACTGCTTAAGAACTATAGCGTTTAGGAAGTGTTTTTACATATATTAAATTTACAAAGCAATTTCAAATATAGTATCTTATTTAATCCTCCCCAAAACCTGTGAGGAGGACATTATTACTGTCATTTTAAGAATGAAAAAACTAGGGTTTTAAAGATGATGTGAGAAAACTCAGTCATTCACCGTAGCATATCCTTTTCTCCCAGACCCATCAGTCTGGAGCATAGGTAGCCCAGGTAGAATGAATGATGTCATTCAGCACATGACCCAGAAAACTCCATTACATCTAGTTTGGCTATCTAGTCTAGGACTGTGCATTATAATTGCCATTAGTCACATGTGACTATATAAATTTAAATTAATTTTAAAAAATGACAATGAAAATACAGTTTCTCAGTCACACTAGATGCATTTCAAATGCTCCATAGTTACATGTCACTAGTGGCTACCACATTGGACAGCACAGATATAGAACATTCCTGTTATTGCTGAAAATTCTATTAGACAGCACTGACAGTCTATTTCAATTTTTTGTTAAACTTTCAATTGCCTTCATATGGCCCATTCTTTCCTTCCTCTAAGCTGCTATCAATTTTACACGCACACACACACGTGCACACACACACACTATACTCAGCCCCTTCTTTGCACTTTTGTTTGTGTTGTTCTAGATCCAGAATGTCCTGTTTCTTCAACATTGAACTTATTTGCTTACATATTTGTCTCCCTTGCCAGACTATAACCTTTTTGGGAGCAGAACCATACCTTAATTCGTCTTCGCATCCCCAGTTCTCAGCTCAGTACCTGGCACACCGTCAATGCCTAACATCTACCAGTCGACACCACCCCACATGCATTTTCTTTTTGATCCTGATCTTGCATGGGTGACTGATAATGAAAGTATGTGTGCTGCATATAAAGCAGATGTAGTTACAATTAAACTTCAACTCCAGATTATAAATTAGGTTTAAATGAAAGTGTTTGGCACTTAGTAACTTCGTTTCATGTGCCCAGTACAATTGTGGAAATTTCACAGATATAGAAAGCACAGCTCTTGGCCATGAGCAGTTCTATTGCCATTGGAGAAACTAGGTGCAATATATGAAATGTCAGGATATCATTAGGCATCATTTAGAAGAGTTTGTGATTGAAAAGCATAAACAAAATGTTACGAATTCAGAATTGTACAGTGTTGTTAAAGGGTAGGTCTTGGAAGATAAAACTTTGCTGGAAAAGGTGACTCACTTATAGTGGGTCTTAAAAGAGAAGGAGGATCTGCATAAAGATAGAAAGACAACTGTGGCTCTAGTGAAGAGCATTGTAGGTAGAAAGAAAGCATTTAATCAAGAAATAAATTAATGTGATATTGGCAAGAGAAGGGATGAGACAAAAATACATTTTAGTATTTGCTAAGTGCCTAATCTATGCTCTTGACATAGATGGAGAGGTGAGGAAAGGGCCTTGCTTCATAGAGGCGGAAACTATGAGTTCTGCCTGAAAATATTCACTTTCCTCAAATTTCCCTCTAGTTGTGCCAACTATTTGAGTTCTTTCCATAAGAGTTAGCCCACTATTTCCTGGATCCAATTTTGTAGTACTTGACCACCCACACCTCAATCAGATGGAGGAAAAAAAAAAAAAGCAGAATGCAGGCATAATGGAAGCAGACGCCACAGGATCAGGCTAAGGGAGGAGCCAGAAGCATCCCGCCCAGCCCCATGGGAGAGTTAGATATCAGACACATGGAAATAATGTATCAAAATCGGCAGAATAGGACAGTAACCGCCACAAAGGTAAGAACAGAGTTTTGGAGTTCCCTAAGCCACGCTTGAGAGTCCCACCTCAGGAGTCTAAGCCAAAGACAAATAAAATTGTTCAGATTGCTTAGAAAGCAAATGTCATGTCTTGCAATCAGCCACAGTTCTCAGGTTTTTTTGCCTCTCTTGGGTTAAGATTACCATGTATTAGGATTAAGGAGTCCCAGAATTGTGTGAACTTGGGCCAGCAGGTTATTCAACCGTGACGGACCTAATTTTTCCCTTAAAAATACTGATGAGTGAAAGAGGAAGTTTATTTAGGTCATTCTTATGGTGCATAAAAAGAGGCAATTTAAAGGTAAATATGAGGCAGACTATGGGGCTAGAATAAGGAAACCACTGAGGAAGCCCCGCAGACTCTGAAGAAGGGCACAGATGAAAATAGTGGCAACCAGCTGCTGTGGGTGGACTTCCAGAGGACTTGTTTTCTTGGAAGTTGCTACCTGAGAGCTGCACACTGTTTCTGTACTTGGAGTAGTGCAGAATGAGTGTAATCACCGCTCATTCAGGCACTCAATTTTAATTTCACATCGTTTACATTATGTTGATTGATTACAGCCAAGTCATTCACACAGCATTCATCTGCTCAGCTTTCTAAGGCCCATAACAAGGGGTGGCTCATTCCCTAAGAACTCTCCACAGAATTCCTTCAGAATTATTTATTATTTTAAAAAATTATATTAAAGTCACCAGGTTTTAGAGACCTGCTAAAAGGATGGCAATGTGGTCTATCTGCAATCTGAGTTATTAAGAGATATATGAGCAAATATAAAAGTGTTTAAAATATCTGGAGAAAAAAATCAAAATATGTTCCCACATATTGGATGCAAATCAAGTCCAGAAACAGAAACAATGAGTGACACTAGATTTTTAAAAATAACTTGTATCTCTAAAATTTCTGGACTATAGTGAGTAGAAAGAGTGCCATATTAGGAGTTAGAAAGCCTAGATTCTAGCACTCATAGTCTGATTTTCCTCATCCTTATATAGATGAAAA
Source organism: Homo sapiens (assembly GCF_000001405.40). NCBI lineage: Eukaryota > Metazoa > Chordata > Mammalia > Primates > Hominidae > Homo > Homo sapiens. The sequence continues at coordinate 84,510,034 of NC_000004.12, forward strand.
TATATGTCTACATAAAAACTTTTACGTTAATGTTGATAGCAGCGTTATTTATAATAGCAAAAATTAGAAGCGATACAAAGGCTCATCAGCTGATGAATAAATAAAATGTGGTCTATCCACACAATGGAATATTGTTCATCAATAGAAAGGAATAATTACTCATCCATGCTACAACATGCATGAACCTTGAAAACAATACTCTAAGTGAGGAAGCCAGTCACAAAAATCTGTATATTATTTCATTTATGTGAAATGTCCAAAATAAGTAAATTCATAGAGATAGAACATAGATTAGTGGTTGCTTGGGAATGGGACAGGGCCAGAGTGGTGTGGGAGCAGAAATGGGGAGTAACTGCTAATGAGAATGGGGATTCTTTGGGGGATATTGAAATGTTCTAAAATCAGATTGTGGTGATGGTTGCACAACTCTGAATATGCTAAAAAACCCTGAACTGAGTACTTTGAATGGGAGAATTTTATGGCATATGAAATATAGCTCAATAAAACTATTTTTAAAAACTAGGGATTGTGAAAAATACCAAGAATATGAGTGTAAGCACCCCATAAAGTGTGCAATGTTCTATATGGTAGGAGTCACTATTGTCTTCACCTAAGGAAACTTGCTGGGAGAGGAAGTGGCAAATTGCCGGTAACTAAGGGAATAGACCCCAAAGGAGAAGGACATGGGAATGACTGCTCTATAAAAGTAAGAATGAATTAAAACATCATAATAAGGCAATGTGAAAAAATGACAGCACTTTAATTATTTTTCCTTCCAGGTTTACCTTGTGTGTCATACTCTAAACAAGATGTAATTGGCTTGTAGAAAATAACAAATACGCATTTTAGATACTTTTTTTGTTTCAGAGTCACAAAGTCCATAAATCATTCCTCAACTGTCCTAAAGACAAAAGATACGCAGAGGATTCAAGTCAAGAAATGTTGATGTCCTACTGGGTGTTAATTCTACCTCTTAATCAAGATCTGATTATCAAAAAGGACAACAGAACATTAAAATGCTATAAAGATTTGAAATGTTTCAGTCTTCTCCAGAATTCACACTGTAAATGTCCTCATTATGACATTCACCAGAGCAACAAATTTGAGATGTTGCTGCAAAAATTCTGTAGAGCAGAATCTTTGCAAATTATGATGAATAATCCAAGTCCATATACTTGCTCTATAAAGCTCTGTAATATCAAGGTACTCCAACTCTGCTTCTGCTTCCTCAAAAACATACTATTTTAAAGAACAGTAAAAGGTAATTAAAAATAGTTTATAGGTTAATCATACTTGGTCTTATATTTGTCTAATGCAGACACTGGTGTGCTGGTGTTATAGCTGTTAGACATTATCATGAGCCAAAAAAATGAATCAGATATTTAATGGAAATTTTCTTATAAAATTACAAAAATGCAAGCCAATAATACTAAACTATAATAAAATTCTGAGCAGTGATACTACGGTGTTTTTTTTTCCCTGAAGGAGTAGGTATTCTATAAAAGAATGCTTAAATACTATGGTCATTCTGTTATAAATAAATATATTTCATAGACTGTTCTACATAGCTGATAGATGAATTTGCTCTGTTTCATCATTTCTGTACATTAACGGCATGGAGCAAGAAGCGAAACTCTAGTTATCACTAACCAGTTCTGTCTATATCAAAATTTAAAATTCCTTACAGCAGAAAAGTCAGAAGCTTAAAAGCCTAAATAGTTAACAGCAGTAGTTTCCGTTCTACGTAGCACTATGGTGCTTTACAGATTATTTCTCTTTAAAAGTAAGGCTTTGTCTTTGGTTAAAATGGAAAGTCCCTGGAAAGGCTGAGTAATATGCCTTATCAATTATGTGAGTCAAGGTGTAATGAGTTTAGCAGCTCCTTACCTGAGAGCAGGCTTCAATGATGCTAGCAGGGTACTGGAGTGCCCTATGACTACACTGAACTTCTTAGGGCCGAGAGAAAGGACCATGGTGGAGCAAGGGGGTCTTCACAAAAGGTTGAGTAAGAGTAACCAAGTTGCTTTGATAAGATTTACCTCAGATTAATAAAAGGGAGAACAGAATCACAGAGCCTTCAGAGGCTACTTCAGCTCAGGGAGTTAGCAGGTATATATAAGGAACTAGAAATAGAAAACCTTTGTTTCTATTTGTTTCCCAAAGTTACTAACATAAGCATGCTCATTTTTTGTTTTCCCTCAAAGCCTAGTAGTTCTATACCCTTATATTTAGGAACAGCAAAAAGGGGTGATACCTGCGAGACTTCCTACCACTTGAGCCGGTCTTGGGGAGAGCTTATCTCCAAGCAGAGCCTATCACCTGGCATGTGTGTCCGTGTGTCTGTGTGTCTGTATCTCTCTGTGTCTGTGTGTACTGAAGGAAGCAGGAACACAGTACAGGGAAGCTACTTGGCCTGGAGCTTCCACACACAAAGGGCCTCAAATTTACACTTTGGAAGTTGTCTCCAAGAAAGAATATGCACATAATCACATATAATCACATACGCTGACCAGTGGAAAGAAAAAGACAATCACCATTTGATTTTAATCCCATGTCCCACGATCCAACCACATAGCCTGTGTAAGATCTACATTAATATTTTTAATAAATCCTTTAATTATCCCATGAATAATAACAATGCATATGTTAAAAGTGCTAAATTGCTAAATAATTCTTATAATCTTATTCTGAAATTCATTTATCCATTAATATACCAGGAGCTTTCAAAAAATGGAAGTAGCTTATGTCCATCCCAAGCTTTGAGAGGCTCTGATACTGAGAAATTGGATGGATAATGGCCACTGCTAAGAAGAGAGGAAAATAAACTTAACTCCTTTGGGCCTGCAGTTATGGAAAAAGGGGAACAAAGAACTGCCCTGGTATGAGAAGGGACCTGGGAATCTTCAGTAGAAAGCTCCTTATGAGGTTCACTGGCATTATTGTTTAGCCACTACATCACAAATCTACTTCTGTTTAATTATTCTAATATTTTTAATGCAACTTTTTTTATTTGCTATGTCCACATAATCCAGAACATCAATATAGACTATAGTCTTGATCTCAAATCAGCTAGGCACTGAGAGTTATAACAAAAACTATTAGGTCCCTTCTTGAAGGAGCCTACCGATAGCTTGATCATTACAGGTAAGAAGATAACTAGCAATACAAGGCAATGATTAACTCATAAGCACCGTGCTGGTGGCCTAGTCAACAAGAACTATGGATGGGAGTTCATTCAGAAGAAAACTTCTGATCAGAGAGAAAGCTGCGGGTGAGACAGAATTTCATCTAAGTTGGGCCTCTTCACTTTTGACTGTGCGTGTGTGTTTTCCTCTAGACCGGATATTCTTGTGCATTTTTGTAGAAAGCCAAAAGGAAGAAAATGAAGACAAAAACGGTGAAGATGCTGGAGAAAGACAGGATGATTGAATATCCAGGAGGGTGAGAATAGGTGGCAAGGTAAGCCTTTCCTTGGAGTTGAAGGAATGGAGGCAAGGTATAGAGAAAAACAGATGTTTAGGGTAGGAGAACAGAGGGGCTGAGGCAATTCATCAGGTAAATGGGAAACATGCATTCAATGGAAAGATTCAGGAAAGAGTTTGTAACATGAAAAGGGAGAAAAATTCAAGAAATTGTTAAGATAAATATGTGAATAGATTAAGAAGAGGTGAATAAAAGAGGTACTTAGCAGCAGTGCGGAGCTACCCAATTGCCTGTAAAAACTTTCACAGGATTGAATGGCTGTAACTCCAGCAGTGTCCCTGGCATCACTTTTCCTGAGCTGGAACCTGGAGTCTCGTTTGATTCATGGATGGTGAATAATGTGGCCAATGCTGTGAAAGCAAAGAGGTTGATCTTTGAATTCTTTTTCTTATTGGCCTGCTACCTGGTTCCTATCCTTTTAGGGTGGAGACAGGGGCTTGCTAAAGAAAGACTCTCTACATCAGCCTCCCCTTATCTCAGGCTTTGCAGAAGATGTGTTGATGTTAGTCTGCCCTTGCGGTAGATATTTTTTAAGTGGCTTATGGCTATAACCATCTCTTCCACCAGTTAAAATACAGTTTCTATTTTTACTTTTATTATGTCCATACAGATTACAAAGTAAAGCTGTTTCCTAAATTCAGAATTGGTGACAAAGGAGTTATATTTAAACCTATCACTCAGCAAAAACACCTATTGGTTTTACCTAAAGAGCTTAGTAGTATAATAATGACTTAGGGGCCGGGCAAAGTGGCTCACACCTGTAATCCCAGCACTTTGGGAGTCCAAGGCGAGTGGATCACCTGAGGTCATGAGTTCGAGACCAGCCTGGCTAACATGGTGAAACCCTGTTTCTACTAAAAATACAAAAAATTAACCAGGCTTGGTGGCACGTGCCTGTGATCCCAGCTACTTTGGAAGGCTGAGGCAGGAGAATCGCTTGAACCCAGAAGGCAGAGGTTGCAGTGAGCCAAGATCACACCATTGCACTCCAGCCTGGGCAACAAGAGCAAAACTCAGTCTCAAAAAAAAATATATATAGTGACTTAGGATTGAGATTCCTAATATCCTTTCATGTGCAAACTCTGATTCTTAACTAAGATTCAATTAACAGGAAAGAAGATGTAACATAAAATTAAAACTCTATAATGGACTTGCATTGCTTTAATCTCCATACTTAATTGACACTAAATAGTTTACTTGCAGAAGAGAGATTCTGAGTACTATGTTTACACAGTACACTGATTATGATGCATAGAATTTTTTTGTAATAAAAAGGAACAGATTAATCCATTCTGTGTGACCGTAGCAGCCTACTGTGAACCACCCATTTATATCACTTTGTCGTGACCTTTGCTTCAGAAGCCTGACTGGCAAAGTAGTGCAATGGGTGCCCCTTTCTATAGTTAAGAAAAACTGCCAGTTACATACAAAGATATATTTTCCTGTCAGTTGATTCAAATGCAAAAAAAATACAGTCACCCAGATGACTACAGATGCCAAGTCACAAATTTGATTAAATTCTGAATGAAGCGAAGCATCATTCAGGCATAAACAATGCACAGCCAAGACCAGTCCTACCTCCTCTGTCAATAAGTATCGAACTCTCACTGGAAATTTTACCTGGAGCACTTACTAGACTCGCCAAGCAGAGGGTGATGTGATTTATATTTTTAGCCCTGACTAATGCCACAATTACTTGAAATATAGTATGCTTCCACACAGCTATATTTTTCTAACTAGTATTTTCCTTTAACAAAGATAAGATATAGTTCATATCATGTTACTCACTTTAATGTCATAAAGTTAGGCTTAGAATAAATTAGTTCTACAAATGGAATTTTAAGTAAGAGTAAAAGCATTGTAGGAAAAAAGAAGCACAGCAAGGTTCCTGAACCCATGGAACAAAATTTAATAAAGGCTAGTGTACATAACAGCAGGCAGGACAAACATAATAGCATGGATCAGGGAGGCCCAGACACAGCCAAAATGGACCGGCAGACATGAACCACCAAGAGAACCTGGGGCCTGCCTTGCAGCCACAGAGCTGAGGGATCTTGAGCAGAAGGAACAAGGTGGAGTCACCCAGATGCATCTTCCCCATGTATAAGTGGGAGGGAAAACCACTTTAAATCTTCCTTTGAACTTTTGCTTTATCCCAACTCCACATTCTCAGCTTTAGGAATTTTAATGATGACATTTCACATTGCAACCGAGCATACACACACACATATGTATAGAGCTGGTATATTCTAGTGTTTTCTATTCTGTTATATCCTATTTCATCCTTTTAAAATTCTGGTTAAGTCACATGCTATGTGTTAAATTGTGTCCCCACCCAAATCTTACAGGTTGAAGTCCTAACACCCTATACATTAGAAGGCAGCTTTATTTGGTGATTGTCTTTTTTCAGAAGTAATCAAGTTAAAATGAGGTCATTAGGGTGAGCCCTAATCCAGTATGACTGGTATCCTTATAAATAGGTGAAACTTGAACACAGTGGTGTGCAAGAAGGATAATGCTGTGAAGAGACATAGGACAAGACAGCCATCTGCAAGCCAAGGAGATAAGTCTAGAATGGATCTTTCCCTCACAGCCCTCAGAAGGAAGCAACCTTGCAGACACCTTGATTTCAGACTTCTAACCTCCCAAACTGTGAGAGACAATACATGTCTGTTGTTTAAGCCACCCAGTTTGTGACTAGCAAACTAAGACCTAACAAACTAATATAGAACACTAAACTGATTTCATGACTCATTAATGGGCCTTGAAGAGCAGTTTGGGAAAAATGAATCCAGTCCCACTGGGCTCTCCAACATCCTTTGTTCTTTGAGCATGTGCTTGAATACTTGCAGTGACAGAGAACTTACTACCTCCCAAGGCAGGGGATTTCATCTCTGGGGATCTCCAGTACAGCTAAAATCTGATGCCTGTAACTTTGTCCCACTTCTCAATTTCCACCCCTAGGAGTCATATACAGAAGTCCAACTCCTCCTCATCATCATCATGACTTTCAACCTGGCATTTTGTATTCTAGTGCTACCATATGTGTCCTCACTGTCTACCATAAGTGCTCTGCTGTCTTCCCATTGTTTTCCATTCATCCCTTGAACAGGTACAAACCCATTTCTTCACCCTCATGCTGACCTCTCCTCCAAAGTGAGATCACCTGCCCCTCCTGCCAGCTAAATCCCAGCCCACCCTCACTCCTCACCTTCAAAAATCTTTTTTTTTTCTTTTGAGACAGAGTCTTGCTCTGTCGCCCAGGCTGTTGGAGTACAATGGCGCAATCTCAGCTCACTGCAACCTCCACCACCAGGTCCAAATAATTCTTCTGCCTCAGCCTCCTGAGTATCTGGGATTACAGGTGTGCTCTACAACACCTGGCTAATTTTGGTATTTTTAGTAGAGATGGGGTTTCACCAGGTCAGCCAGGCTGGTCTTGAACTCCTGACCTTAGGTGATCCACCCGCCTCAGCCTCCCAAAGTGTTGGGATTACAGGCATGAGCCACCGCACCTGGCCCACAAATCATTTTCTGATCCTGCCAACACAGATCAATGTCTTCCTTTGTGAACATCTAAAGCACTGTGCTAAATAATAATTTAAAACTGGTTCATAGGTTCATATTTATTATCATTTAGGAAAACTGACTTTTGACAATATCTACTGAATTTTTCATTTCATATGGGGAGCTTGATGAAGCAGCAGCTTCAAGTGGTAAATCCTTGGTTGACATGTCTGAGTTAGTATCTTTGTAACTACCTTCTAACCTTTTTCTTTTATTCAAACCAGATTTTTCCCAAAGTATTTTTCTGACCTACCTTCTCTGACCAGAGGTAAGTAAAAGCTCTGAATCAACAACTGGGGAAATAATTATGGACTCTTGCAAATCTGAAAGTGGCCTGCTGAAAGAATTTTGTAGACCCCTAACGCCTCTCTTCCCATCTGTTCTTTCCCCTCCCCTCTCTTTATCCTTATTCTAGCCACTATCTGGCATGATCCTGCTACTTTTATGGTTTTAACCACCAATGATATTCTGATGATGCTCTCATATTCTTCTCCAGCCCAGACCTCTTTGTGGAGCTCTACCCCCAACCTGTCTGGTACCTGAGCTCACAGACCCCTCAAACTCTACATGTCCAAAATGGAACCCATCATCTTCCTACCTTCCCCAGTAGCTCCCACCTTAGGGAATGACCTCATCATCTGCCCATCTGCCCAAGCTGGAAACATGGATATAACTCTAACACCTCTCTCACAGTCAATCACAAACTACTGTGGGTTTTACCTTCTTTCTATTTCTCAGATTCACTTCTTTCATTTTGAACCCTGGGCATTGCCTAATTCAAGCTCTTGTTACTCCTTGCTTAGGTTAACGCATCACCTCCAGTTGGTCTCTTGGCTTCTGTCTTCCTCCACGCGATCCATTTCCCCTGCAGTTTGAGTGATATTTCCCAAATGTTAAATGATTATATCATTTTTGTATCAGTCAGGAACCATCCAGGAAAAAAATGACTCTGAAAAGCAAATGGAACTAAATACTGAAAATAGATTACACAGGTGATGGAAGAGCTTGGAAGCGAAAGAGAGGATGGAGAGGCAGCCCAGGGAATAGCAACAGCAGCAGAGCCACTACCAGCCCAAGGGTAGAGGAACAAAGGGAAGTGGGATTATTACTGAAGGCCTGAGTCTGGGATCACCCAGCAGAAGTGGGACCCTATCCAGAGATGGGGTCCCAGGAGAGATATAGTTGCAGCTGGTATTGCTGCCTGACGTGGAAAGTCGGGGTGCGGTGGTGGTGGGGGACCCCTTGATTTCTGCTTTCCCGTCACCATGCAACTTCCCAGTTATATCCCCCTTTGGCCAAACCCAGCCAGATGCCAGTAGATACTAGAACCTGAGAAATGTAGCCTTCAGAAACCAAACAGAGCAGTACAGGGGAAGAACTACAAAAGGATCTGGGGCACAAAGGCCCAGAATTAGGTGACTTCTCCTCTAGAAATTTTACAGTGTTCCCCTAAAGCCTTTGGCACAAAGTCCAATTGCTTGCTATGGAGGACAAGACTATGCACTCTTGCTGTGGCTCCTGCTTGTCTGTAGGGTCACCTTTTACCTGGCGTACCGACCCTGCACTATCCTCACACTAAGCTCATGCTCCCACCTGGCTCTCTACCAGCAGTTACATGCCAACTCTCTCTCACTGCTGTGCCTTGACACATGCTACTCTCTAAACTAGAATCCACTCCCCACCTTTCCTCAGTTTCACACACACAGCTCCTACCCCAACACCAGTCAAGCAGCAGTGCACTCGTCAGCTGTGGAGAAGCCTTCTGGAACCTCTCACTCCATGAGCTCCCCGGTCTGAATGGGAGCCCTTCTATGGGTTTCCACAGCACCCTGTGTTCATCTTCCACATTGAATTATCCTCTTATTACTGAAATTGTCAGCTTTCTGCTCTTCCTCATTAGAATGTAAACTCCTTAAAGATAAGAAGAGTATCTTATTCACCTTCTCACTTACAATGCTAAGCATAGTGCTTAGTGCATCTAGTAAACACTTGCTGAGTAAATGCATAAATTTGGTTTTAAGGAGAGTTAAACTTCACTCAGGATGGCAGGGCCAGTTCTACTTAAGACTTATAACTTTGTTTTTTAACCACAAACTTATTTTTAAAATTTACTCGAAATATTTTTCATGTCAGAAAAGGTTTTTGTTTGTTTGTTGTTTTCCTTTCTGGAAACCAGGGAATCCCTACCATAGATTTTTGGGATATGATTTTAAGACTGAAAACCATCTAAAAATAAGAGGTGTGAAAGCTAAGAGGTAAGCAGCATTTTAATGCCCTCCAAACTATTTAAGGGTAATAACTTTTTAAACAATTATTTAATTTAACAAATAATAATTTTTAATTCTCATGCATGTTCCAATTCATAATAAAGCAGTGGTTTTCAAAAAGTGGTCCATGGAAACTTGGGTATCCCAAGGTCAAAACTATTTTTATAATAATGCTAGGACATTTTTTTCCTTTTACACTGTCCTGACATATACATTTATGGCACAAAAGCAATGGTAGTGCTATTATCTTAAAATGAACTTTGGTAATGACACTAACTGTACTAGTAGTCACTGTGTCCTTTACCACCACATACTTGTAGAAAAAAAAGATGAAAGTTTTACTTTAAAATATCCTTTATGAAGCAGTGAAAATTACTACTCTTGGCCGGGCACGGTGGCTCATGCCTGTAATCCCAGCACTTTGGGAGGCTGAGGCAGGTGGATCACAAGGTCAGGAGATTGAGACCATCCTGGCTAACATGGTGAAACCCTGTCTCTACTAAAAATACAAAAAAACTTAGCCGGGCGTGGTGGTGGGCGCCTGTAGTCCCAGCTACTCAGGAGGCTGAGGCAGGAGAATGGTGTGAACCCGGGAGGCAGAGCTTACTGTGAGCCAAGATCGCGCCACTGCACTCCAGCCTGGGTGACAGAGTGAGACTCCATCTCAAAAAAGAAAAAAAAATTATTACTCTTATTAAATATTGACTCTTGAGTAAATATCTTTTTAGTATTTGGTATGATGAAATTGGAAGTATACGTATTATAAAACAAAACACTTCTGTTGCCTACTAAAGTGTGATGGTTGCCTTTAATAAAGCTTCTTTGTGGTTCAGTTGCAAGTGAACTGGCCACTTATTCCAAAAAATATCATTTTTACTTGAAAGAACAACTGACAAACAGACTTGGATATTAAGCAGGTATTTTCTTAAATATAAACAAAGTAAGCCTCTCACTTTAAAAAGCACCTGGCAATATTTGTTGCTAATTGTGAAATGCACAGTTTCAAGCAAAATTTTTGAATACTCTTATTTGCCATCATGAACTTGACCACTTCCCAATATTTAGGAACTTTTCTAATGAGATTGGTGGTCAGAAAAATTATTTCTCTGAATGAATTACCCCATACTTCATGGCTTAAAACAACACAAATTATTTATCTCGTAGTTGTATAAGTTAGAAGTATGAAACAGGTCCCACTGGGCTAAAATCAAGTTGTCAGCAGGGCTGTGTGCCTCCTGGCCGAGAAGAATCAGTGCTGAGAGAAACTCTGTTTCCTTGCCTTTTCTAGCTGCTGGAGGCCACCTGCATTCCTTGGCTCATGGTCCCTTCCTCCATCTTCAAAGCCAGCAACATAGCATCTCTCAGAGCTCTGCTTCTGACATCACATCTTCCTCCTCTGAGCCTTTCTTTCAACTCCTTCTTCCACTTTTAAAGATCCTTGTAATTACATTGTGCAACCCTGGATAATGCAGGATAATCTCCTTAATTTAAGGTCAGCTCATTAGCAAACTTAATTCCATCTGCAACCTTAACTCCCCTTTGCCATGGAACCTAACATAGTCACATACTCTGTGGATTATCATATGGATATCCTTGGGGTAACCATTATTCTGCCTATAACAGGTGAGGATATTAACACATGTGATTTTTAAAAATGTTTCAAAATGAAATGTGTCAACATTTGGAACATCTGCATAACTTAGTAAGCCAGCATTTTCTAAATGACCAATGTTTGATGTTCAAAATCACAGGTGGGTAGAAGATTCATTCAAAATGCAAGACAGGTGGGTTTAATGTAACAGAGTACAAAAATTTCATAAATATGGTTTCAGATTCCAAATTTGTAACTAACCTTTTAGAAATGAATGCTTATTGAGTTTTGATGTAGCATCAAAGAAGAATATACACAATTATCTGAAAAGGCCATGAAAATATTCATACTTTTCCAATTACATATCTGTGTAAATCTAGATTTTCTTCATGTGATTCAACTAAAACAACAATATATTGCAACAGATTGAATGCAAAAGCAGATATGAGAATCTGTCTTCTATAAAACCAGATGTTAAAGATATTTACAAAAACATCAACAATACCACTCACTGTATTTTTTAAAACCATAGTTATCCTTCATAAAAATATGCTTTCCTTGTTAACATGTAATAGGTTTTTTGCTGTTACTTTTTAAAAAAATCAATACTTTTTTAAATTTTAAGCTCTCAGTTTTAATTTCTAGTGTATATACTGATAGTTATAACTCACATAACAAAAGTTTTTTGGGGTCCTCAATAATTGTTAAGAATGAAAAGATATCCTGAGACCAAAATATTTGAGAGCTGCTATGCTAGAGTAGCAATTCCTTCAGAGAGAGAGAGATGAATATGAGCTCGTTAAATTCATATTCCACTTACTGCAGATCTTACTCATCCCTCAGCCTATATTGGCCCTTATAATGATCATGACTTATTTCTACAAGGGTCATACTGGGCTGCCAAGAGGCAAGTCTACCAGCTGAAAAAAAAGGAAACCCTACCATTTGATTAAGGCAGCAGAGGTATAAAATAGAGCAGCTCTGTCCACAAAGGATAGTAAGGGAATGAGAAAGAGCAAGGAGGAGTTTGCGTGACCTCCCATCTGTCCACAAGGCAGTAGGTGTAGGAACCCAGAGGAGGCCACACCTAATGCCCTGCCTTCTTCCAGCTTTTTTGGAAGCAAAGGTAGAGCATTAAATGTGCAATTAGACCATGGCTGGAGCTCTGCTAAGGGAATGTTTCCCTAAATGAAAGCTTATGGTATATGCAATGTGTTGTGCTCATAAAGATCAGAAGAAGGTTGGTTTAAGACACCTGGCTTTTTATTGAATACCATTCTGTACAAAGAATCTGACAGGTACTTTCACATTTATCTTGGTATTTTAGTAATGCATTCTCACATCTAAGAACATAGATGTCCTCTATTGCAAATGCCTTTCTTATTGTCTGTGGAACCAAGTAGCTACGCAGCCTGGGACAGCTCCTTAACCTCTCCCAACTCCAGATTCCCATCTGTCACCTGTGAATAGTAATGCCTACCCATGAAGATTGTTATGAGGCTCAAGAAATAACAATAATGTATATGAAAAGGCTTTTTGATAAACTCAATTGTTTTGTAGAAATAACAGAGCCAAGGAGGAACTTGGTAAGGTGACTTTATTTCTCTCTCCCATTTTCATCATTTCCACCCTCAATTTAGCCCAGATACAACCAAAGTAAAATCATAGTTCTTGCTATAAAAATGAAGACTTAATGTGGGGTTTCTTACTCCTCTTCCAACCAAACTGTTACTACCAAGCCCCTTCTACATATAAAAATTCTATATGTTTCTCTGTTTTATGTTTTATTTATTACTACTTAGCAATATGATATTTATACAAGAAGAATTTGAAATGTTCAGTGACTAAGTTGTGCAATCAATTACTCATTCAATAAAGATTTACATATCCACTAAGTGTCAGGCTGTGAACTAGGCAGTGGAGATACAGTAAAAAAAATAAAATAAAATAGAATACAAACAAAAATCCCTGCCTACACAGAGCTTGTATTTTAATGGGTAGGGGAATAGGGAGTGAGATGATAAATACTATGTCAAAAGGTGAGATGACTATAGGGAAAGAAGCAGGAAGGAGATACGGGGTGCTGGATATTGGTGACGGCGTGAAGGGTGCGATTTTAAATGATGTAGTGAAGGCAAGAGTTTACTATTACAATGTCATTCAAGTGAGGGCCTCATGCAATTATTGTGGAGAAGATGGCTCAAGGCAGAGAAGACACCAAGTGCAAAGGTCCTGGGCTCTGGTGTGTTCACAGGCTAGCAAAGAAGCCAGGGTACCTGGGGAGGGTAAGGAGGGGCAGAGAGGTAGGAAATGAGTAGGAAGGGACAGTATGGAGAGGTGGTGGGCAGGAGTCAGGGACTTCCCATCTCACTAGGGGGAGGTTTTGAGCAGAGGACTGAGTTATGTGAGTTAAGTGTTAAAAGAAACCCACAGCCAATATCATACTGAATGGGCAAAAACTGGAAGCATTCCCTTTGAAAACTGGCACAAGACAGGGATGCCCTCTCTCACCACTCCTACTCAACATAGTGTTGGAAGTTCTGGCCAGGGCAATCAGGCAGGAGAAGGAAATAAAGGGCATTCAATTAGGAAAAGAGGAAGTCAAATTGTCCCTGTTTGCAGATGACATGATTGTATATCTAGAAAACCCGATCGTCTCAGGCCAAAATCTCCTTAAGCTGATAGGCAACTTCAGCAAAGTCTCAGGATACAAAATCAATGTGCAAAAATCACAAGCATTCTTATACACCAATAGCAGACAAACAGAGAGCCAAATCATGAGTGAACTCCCATTCACAATTGCTTCAAAGAGAATAAAATACCTAGGAATCCAACTTACAAGGGATGTGAAGGACCTCTTCAAGGAGAACTACAAACCACTGCTCAAGGAAATAAAAGAGGATACAAACAAATGGAAGAACATTCCATGCTCATGGGTAGGAAGAATCAATATCGTGAAAATGGCCATACTGCCCAAGGTAATTTATAGATTCAATGCCATCCCCATCAAGCTACCAATGACTTTCTTCACAGAATTGGAAAAAAACTACTTTAAAGTTCATATGGAACCAAAAAAGAGCCCGCATCGCCAAGTCAATCCTAAGCCAAAAGAACAAAGCTGGAGGCATCATGCTACCTGACTTCAAACTATACTACAAGCCTACAGTAACCAAAACAGCATGGTACTGATACCAAAATAGAGATATAGATCAATGGAACAGAACAGAGCCCTCAGAAATAATGCCGCGTATCTACAACGATCTGATCTTTGACAAACCTGACAAAAACAAGCAATGGGGAAAGGATTCCTTGTTTAATAAATGGTGCTGGGAAAACTGGCTAGCCATATGTGGAAAGCTGAAACTGGATCCCTTCCTTACACCTTATACAAAAATTAATTCAAGATGGATTAAAGACTTACATGTCAGACCTAAAACCATAAAAATCCTAGAAGAAAACCTACGCAATACCATTCAGGACATAGGCATGGGCAAGGACTTCATGTCTAAAACACCAAAAGCAATGGCAACAAAAGCCAAAATTGACAAATGGGATCTAATTAAACTAAAGAGCTTCTGCACAGCAAAAGAAACCACCATCAGAGTGAACAGGCAACCTACAGAATGGGAGAAAATTTTTGCAATCTACTCATCTGACAAAGGGCTAATATCCAGAATCTACAATGAACTCAAACAAGTTTACAAGAAAAAAACAAACAACCCCATCAAAAAGTGGGCAAAGGATATAAACAGACACTTCTCAAAAGAAGACATTTATGCAGCCAAAAAACATGTGAAAAAATGCTCATCATCACTGGCCATCAGAGAAATGCAAATCAGAACCTCAATGAGATACCATCTCACACCAGTTGGAATGGCGATCATTAAAAAGTCAGGAAACAACAGGTGCTGGAGAGGATGTGGAGAAATAGGAACACTTTTACACTGTTGGTGGGACTGTAAACTAGTTCAACCATTTTGGAAGTCGGTGTGGCAATTCTTCAGGGATCTAGAACTAGAAATACCATTTGACCCAGCCATCCCATTACTGCATATATACCCAAAGGATTATAAATCATGCTGCTATAAAGACACATGCACACGTATGTTTATTGTGGCACTATTCACAATAGCAAAGACTTGGAACCAACCCAAACATCCATCAATGATAGACTGGATTAAGAAAATGTGGCACATATACACCATGGAATACTATGCAGCCATAAAAAATGATGAGTTCATGTCCTTTCTAGGGACATGGATGAAGCTGGAAACCATCATTCTCAGCAAACTATCGCAAGGACAAAAAACCAAACACCGCATGTTCTCACTCATAGATGGGAATTGAACAATGAGAACACATGGACACAGGAAGGGGAACATCACACTCTGGGGACTGTTGTGGGTTGGGGGGAGGGTGGAGGGATAGCATTAGGAGATATACCTAATGCTAAATGACGAGTTAATGGGTGCAGCACACCAACATGGCACATGTATACATATGTAACAAACCTGCACGTTGTGCACGTGTACCCTAAAACTTAAAGTATAATAATTTAAAAAAAAAAAAAAAAAAGAACCACTTTGGCTGTTGTATGGAGAATAGACTGCTGAGCCGCAAAGACAAAGAAAGACCAGGCTGGGCATGGTGGCTCACGCCTGTAATCCCAGCACTTTGGGAGGCCGAGGCGGGTGGATCACCTGAGATCAGGAATTCAAGACTAGTCTGGCCAACATGGTGAAACCCCGTCTTAACTAAACATACAGAAAAAAGATTAGCTGGGCATGGTGGCGGATGACTGTAATCCTGGCTACTTCAGGAGGCTGAGGCAAGAGACTCACTTGAACCTGGGAGGCAGAGGTTGCAGTGGGCTAAGATCACACCATTGCATTCCAGCCTGGGCGACAAGAGCAAAACTCTGTCTCAGAAAAAAAAAAAGAAAGAAAGAAAGAAAAGAAAGATAGAAAGACCAACTGGGAGGCTTTTGAAACAATACAGTAGAGAAAGCAGGGTGATCACAATGGAGACAGTGAGAGATAGAGTCTAGATATATTTTTATGGTAAAAACAACAGGATTTGTGCAAAGGTCGAATGTGGGTTATAAAAAGGAGGGAGGATGACTTTAAGGATTTGGCCTGAACAACAGGAATTGTGCAGCAGCCATTCACTTAGATGAGGTGGACTGCAGGGAGGCCAACAGGGTTTGGGGTGGTTAGAAAGACTAATAATTCAATTTTAGACATGTTAATTTTGAGATGCCTTTTTGACATCCAAAAGGCCACGGGGGTCGTTTCATATAAGAGCCTGAAATTCACAGGAAGGGGTCTGGGCTGGGTATAAATTTGAGAACATCTGCTTTTGTATAATATTTAGAGCTGGGTTGAGATTAAATGGTATTAGCAAGATACTAAGCATAGATAGGGAAAAGAAGGATTTCAAAGACTGGAACCTGAGCCTTAAATCAAGAATATAAGGAAGAATCAGCAAAAAACACTAGAAAGAGTTTCCAGTGAAGGAGAAGAAAAACCAGGAGAATACCATTATCTGAGAGTAAAGTGAAAAAGTGTATCAGAAAGCATGGGGTGATCAGCCATGTCAAATGCTGCGGGTCGGTCATGTCAGATGGATGAATTGACACTCAGATTTTGCAAAAAGAACATCATTAACAACCTTGACAAGAACAGGGTGGTGGTGGTGGTGGCAAAAGCCCTCATGAAGTCAAAGAAAGAATATGGGAAAGAATTCAAGAAACAATATGAGGAAAGGAACTGGAGACAGCCAGTATAGACAACCCTTTTGAGGAGTTTTGCCGTTAAAAAAAAAAAAAAAAAAAACAGAAAAATAAAGAGGGAAAAGGGGAATGTGAAGTCAAAAAGTATCATTTTTCTGGATTTTTTTAATGGAGACATTTTTAAGACATTTACAGACATGGACTATATTAGTAATTCTGTATATGCAAATAAACAAAGAGCCAAGGAGGGATATAGATGTATTTTGTCCTTAATTTATCTATTCATGAACGTGGTTAGAAACTGTACGATAAAAGAAAAAAAAGGAAACCAAGCCTTACAAAGAGACTGATGCCTTATCCCCTGACATGCAGCTAAGAAGCAGATCTTACTTGGCTTCAGACTTCGAGCACAAATGAACCCAAATGGATTCAACTTTACTGAACTATGTATCGTTTATTTTGTTACTGAAATAAGAATATCAGGCAACTGGAAATCAATGAATTGATTTAAATATTGTGCAAAAGATGGAGCTATTACTATGGGCACATTTTTATGATTTAAAAATCACATTTCAGCATTTTCCCTATGTCGGGGCTATGACAGGGCAGCATTGATTAACACATTCAGACCCAATCATCAAGAAAAAGACTTGGAACTGCACATTTCCCTTGTAAAAGATGCCTTCTTAGGTCCATACCAAGTTCAAAGTTATTAAATAATGACAGTTGGGTTTGGGAGTTTTTTTGGTGTGTGATTTGTTTTTAACTT